>NC_000007.14:85840112-86143142 GCF_000001405.40 Homo sapiens | reverse complement strand
GTGATTTAACCAGGAAGAAAGAGACAAGAAAACAATAAAGCTATACTACTCTACCAACTCCTGGAACCTTTTCCAATTTACCCAGAACAGCGATTATCATCTGACACTTTGCATAGTGATATGGTTTGGCTGTGTCCCCACCCAAATCTCATCTTGAATTATAGCTCCCATAATTCCCACATGTTGTGGGAGGGACCTGGTGGGAGGTAATTGAATCATGGGATGGGTCTTTCTGGGCTGTTCATGTGATAGTGAATAAGTCTCATGAGATCTGATGGTTTTATAAAGGGGAGTTGCCCTGCACATGTTTCCTTTGCCTACCGCCATGAGCTATGTGCCTTTGCTTCTCCTTTCCCTTCTGCCATGATTGTGAGGCCTCCCCAGCCATGTGGAACTCTGAGTCTATTAAACCTGTTTCCTTTACCCAGACTCAGGTATGTCTTCATTAGCAGCATGAGAACAGAATAATACACATGCTAATTTCTCTCTTGCCTCTCTTTCTTTTAGAGAATGTAAGTGCCAAGCGGAGAGGAACATTGGTTTGTTCACTGTCATATCTCCAGTAAAACTAGCATATAATATACCCTTAATAAACATCAGATGGGTTAATGAATAAAGACAGACGAGGTTATTGAATGCCTAAAAATGAAGAAAAACACACCAATTAATGAAGGCTAGGACTTATAGAAAACACAAGGAAAATTATATAATAATGACAAAGAAATCTACTTTCTTTTGGATTAAATTTCTGCCCAACTATTTTGCTTTTACAGACACTATGTTCTATTAATTATCTCCTTAACTCCTGTTGGTCAAGATCCTTACCTTTCTTTCTGAATGCTGGTCACTATAATCATTGTGGTCCCCTGGCTTCCAGCAATTAAAAACTTTATTTCTCCTTTATTGCTTTGGGGTCTGTTGATGGAATATTGAGGTCCCATCTTTTCTATTACTATCAAATATAGTTCTGTGACCACCTGCCTACCGTCACCTTGGCTTACAGAAGAAGGCCATGACTGAAGTTACTGGGGCCAGTGCTCCCTTTACCAGTGTATTGCTGATGACTTTTGTAAGTGAGTATGATGTCCTTTGCACATTCTTGCAGAATGTAATCCCCTGGTGGTTGTCTGATCTCACTTTGGATATTCCTTACTGCAAGGTCACTTTTCTGAACCATTTAGACTCCTTCTTGTACTGTGTGCCAGAAAAACTCAGGCATTTCTACTTTGCTTGGTGTGGACAATTGTTTTCTCCAGGCTTCTAAGAGCCATTTTGTAGTGAGCCAGTATGTTAAATTTTCTTTCTTTTTTTTTTTTTATTATACTTTAAGTTTTAGGGTACATGTGCACAACATGCAGGTTTGTTACATATGTATACATGTGCCATGTTGGTGTGCTGCACCCATTAACTCATCATTTGACATTAGCTATATCTCCTAATGCTATACCTCCTCCCTCCCCCTACCTCACAACAGACCCCATGTTCCCCTTCCTGTGTCCATGTGTTCTCGTTGTTCAATTCCCACCTATGAGTGAGAACATGCAGTGTTTGGTTTTTTGTCTTGCGATAGTTTGCTGAGAATGATGGTTTCCAGCTTCATCCATGTCCCTACAAAGTACAGGAACTCATCATTTTTTATGGCTGCATAGTATTCCATGGTGTATATGTGCCACATTTTCTTAATCGTCTATTATTGTTGGACATTTGGGTTGGTTCCAAGTCTTTGCTATTGCGAATAGTGCTGCAATAAACATACATGTGCATGTGTCTTTATAGCAGCATGATTTATAATCCTTTGGGTATATACCCAGTAATGGGATGGCTGGGTCAAATGGTATTTCTAGTTCTAGATCCCTGAGGAATCGCCACAGTGTCTTCCACAATGGTTGAACTAGTTTACAGTCCCACCAACAGTGTAAAAGTGTTCCTATTTCTCCACATCCTCTCCAGCACCTGTTGTTTCCTGACATTTTAATGATCGCCATTCTAACTGGTGTGAGATGGTATCTCATTGTGGTTTTGATTTGCATTTCTCTGATGGGCAGTGATGATGAGCATTTTTTCATGTGTCTTGGCTGCATAAATGTCTTCTCTTGAGAAGTGTCAGAGTATGTTAAATTTCATGTGTGAGAAGTGCTCCCAAGTCTATGACCTCTTGTTTAAACCCTGTCTGTTTTCTTGATCAAGAGCCATCAAAATTCAATCCCAGGAATGCTACATTGGTTCCTGCTGGGACGTGTTAGGTAATTCTGTGCCTCTTTTGCAGTACACACGTCCAGCTGACAAAGTTGTTAGTTTCAAACCCTTCTCATTCTTGTATTTGTAATCTCTGTTTTCTGCTTATCTTTACACTCTTCCCACTCCATTCTGGACTTGGTCTGATTGTAGCAGCTTCGCAAAGCAAAACAGAAGGGTGGAAGAAATCAATATAAATGCTCTATTTTTAATAACTAGGTGATATATAAGACTGATTGAGACACCTTCAGACTTTCAAACAGAAATATATTGCATGCATTAATTTAGGGAGATGACTTGCCTAAAGTTAATATAGTTACTATTTGTTTTATCTTAAAAGGCAGACTTCCTTAAATTAAAATATAGAGAGCTGATAAGACTTTTTGTTTTTGAATGTTCAGTTCAACTATATTCATTTATCTAAAAAATTAAGTCCAAACTTTTAAATGTAAGGTGGAAATGAAGTGTCATCTTTAGGAAGAAACAAACAGTTGGAGGTGAACTGGCTATGAAAAAGAAAAGCCTAGTAAATGGGAATTGTCATTGGCAGTATTTCAATAGAAATACAGGTGAATATATAACAGAAATATGCGTGTGTGTGTGTGTGTGTATGTGTGTAATACAATAATAAAGCAGTTTTCCACCTACGAAAGTGCTATTTTCAGAAATTTATTTAAGTTATATATTACAGGTAGTTTATTTAAAGACAAATTTAGGCACCGACCTCTAAATTTCTCTTTAGTATTGTTTTGAATTTCAGTTGCAAACACCTATTACAGTTAATTAGAGTATCATTAGAAACCTACATAGATTTTGAAAAATTAAAAGGAAACTCTGGGCCTACCGAAACTGTAGTGATTTATTTTCTCATTTAGAAATATTAGCAATATTACATTGTAAAATGCATTGAAGCAGCTAATTTTCTTCTTCAAAGTACAAAATCAGCAATGGTTTTTATTTGTTTTTGCTTTGCTAAGGAGCAACTTTAAACCTGCCTCCTAATAATAACAGTTTGACTTTTTCTGTTGTGACAGATGCTCTCATTAACATCACTCATAACCTTATGCAGCAAACACAAGACCATTGCCCAAAAGACAAAATGAAGATTAGAAAAAAGATAAGAATCATGGGATTTATGAAATACATATGTAATATATAAGGATCTTATCAGTCAGCCCTGATAGCATCAATTATTCAACACAAAATGCATTCGTGCTTCCTTAATTTTTTAGAATGATCTTGTCAAAAGTAATTTGTTGTTCTATGAAAATTATGTTTTTCACATATATGTGTGCTACTTTTTAATGTTAGTCATCTACTGGTCTTATATTTATAGGTTTAAAATATATTAAATATTTATTGGTTTCTATAGAAGTATTGGAAAAAATGATGGGTTGGGGCCAGGTGCGGTGGCTCATGCCTGTAATCCCAGCACTTTGGGAGGCCGAGGCGGGCAGATCACGAGGTCAGGAGATCGAGACCATCCTTGCTAACACAGTGAAACCCCGTCTCTACTAAAAATACAAAAAATTAGCCGGGCGTGGTGGTGGGCACCTGTAGTCCCAGCTACTCGGAAGGCTGAGGCAGGAGAATGGCATTGACCCGGGAGGCGGAGCTTGCAGTGAGCTGAGATCGCACCACTGCACTCCAGCCTGGGCGACAGAGCGAGACTCCGTCTCAAAAAAAAAAAATAAAAAAATGATGGGTTGAACTTTTAAAAACAAACAATTTATTGTAATCACCATGTTACATAAATGATAGGAATTTATTATAATATTTAAATCATGCTCCATGAAATTATTCTCTTAAGGTTTTCTAAGTTTTGCAAATGGGGAGAAGGAGTTGGAAGGGTTTTTTAGGTTTGTTTTTCAGATTATTTATAGTTCTTTAATAAGTTGTAAGCCTGTTATAATAGGTTGTAAACCTATTATTATAAGATAATAGGTTTATGGCAATTGTGATCCATTTATATAATGCCATAATTTTTCTTTTCAAAAATGATAATCAAAGTTTTCTATGTCACACCTTAAAGAAAAGGTCATACCATAAGCTTTGGAAATCTTGGGAATATTGATGACAGATTTAAAAATGTGTTTAATTAATATAATTAATGGCTCCTCAAAAAAGTTGGAAGCCCTGTCCATTTTTCTAGCTTCTTATATCTCCCAGAATTTATTAAATATGAGGTAACATGGAAAACCATGATTTCATCCATTACTAAGTACAAAAGAAACTAAGTCCATGATTGTTTTTCTATTATGTAAAATATGTGGAAGAAACATAGCATGAACCAATTTAATCAACAGTATGTGTGAATAATCTGCTTGTATGTGCACAGAAATATTTTATATATTTAATTTATTATACTTTGATGACATGTTAAATACAATAGCTGACTCTCCTCCAAAGAATAAGAAAAAGAAGGTCTTCGATAGCCTTCATTTTAACATTTACAATTCTTTTTTTTTTGATATTCTAAAATATCAAAAATCCGTATTCTAAAATCACACATGCATTTTTTCATCAAATGACTTTGTAATTTATTTTTGAAAGCAGGCCATTTCAGGAATAAAAGGATCACTATTCATTATAATAATAGGGCAGAGGAATAACCCAGGATTGTCCCATGCAAATATGGATTTGTAGTCACTCTAATAATTAAGTATTGTATAATAGTTTATTAGTATAACTGTTTCTAATTGGGCAGCCAGCATTGGTGTTCTATTTGCATTTAGGATCCCTATTCCAGGGTCTAATTTAGACTATGTAGAATGGTGTTGAAGAAAAGAGACAAGGTGGTCAGACTGCATACGTTCAAATCTCAGTTCTGCCACTTACTAGCTGTATTGCCATAGGCCATTTGTTTAAACTTGCTGTGCCTTATTTCTCTTATATGTAAAATGGAACAAAAATATTTCAGTATTTCATTATTTGTGAAGTTTGAGTTATTATGTATAAAATATTTAGAACAATGCCTAGCATATAGTAAATGAATAGTAAGTACTGCATATAGTAAACGATTAATGAGCATTAACTACTATTACTTTCTGAAATATTTTTATTATAAATTTTGAATATAAAAAAGGAAAGAATTAAAAAATCCCCTACAGAATCTCTTTTTCTTGTTAGTTTATCTTATTTGTTCTTGACAAAAATAATTAATAGTATGTTGCATAGACACAATGAAGAATGAAGCTTGGCTGACTTGATGTGAGATAGAGTCTTAACTTTCCTTAAGCTCACATCCCTGAAGATGTGTCTAACAACATCTGCCTCACTTGCAACTCTCTCTCCCCAAAGACCTTAGATGCCACATCCTAACTGACTTACAGCTTGCAGATTGTAAAGCTGTATGACTCATTAACTTGCATAATTTGAATTTATTCTAATTTAGAGTGGAGACATCACCAAATGGCCTGCTGGTGCTAGTGGAGTAAGTGTTATGCCTTTGAACATGCTATTATGTCCCCCATACTTTGAAGCCAGGTGATTTGGTATACTATGGACACAGATATGTTACCTACCATCTAGAAACCACATGCACCAAATTGAATCAGAAATTAGTGACAAAAGTTCAGACCCCTTGTCAAATCCATGCTGGTGACATGCAGCTTCCAAAAGCAGACAATGAAGAAGTTAGAATGCTGGCATCCACTGCCCCTTATCTGTAGATTCTGAGCACACTGGGAGGAGCAGCAGTGTTTCCTCCAATCAGCTCTACCTTATGTCATTGAGCACGGTCCCCAATTGTGTGGCCTTCAAGCCTTGTTTTTGGCCCAGCTAGAGATTCTGTAAACTATGCTATTTGCAACCAAATATGCTATTTGTAACTAAAATCCCTGATTAATACTGTAAATTTTAAGTATATGTTTTTGTTTTCCTCAAAGAACCTCATGAGGAAGCAGACAAGAAAAAGCAAGTGACTAATATAATATTTTCAAACTCAACCATTGATTTTTATGAGTAGAGATTATTTGAACCTTTATTAAAAGTATGATTTTTGCTTCTGAGAAAAAGTACACAATTATTTATACATTCATTATTTCATAAGATCAATCATGAATAGTCCTCAGGAAATGCAGATAAGCTCAAATTATAGGTTCCAATGAATAGTTGTTTCCTAGGATATATTTTAGGTTTTAATGTACATGCATTTATAAAATCAAGAACATACATATTTTTCAGAAATTCTCTGAAAGTTTGTCTATTCTTTAATAAACCTTTGTTCATAGCCAAATTTTGATGACTTTAGATTTAAAAGTCCCTGTGATTTAGCAATAAAAACCAATTATTCAAATTTTGTGCCATTGATTGTACCATGTCTAGATTATTAGGATTCATAGCAAAAACCTCCATGGAAATGAAAAATGAAGACAATTGAGGGAGTTTATTTAAAATTACCCAAGAAGAAATGTATTTGTTCCCTTTAATTTCCTTCAATTTTCACAGTCTCAGTTACCAGTCTATAGACTTGTCTCTTGGGATTTCACACATACCAGTGTGTTCTGGTAAATTGTGCAGACTTAAATATCAGTTTCTATGTTAAATATTTTGTATGTTAAACTAAGCTTCTGTTGTGCATCTTCTTCTTCTCAAATGAGGCTCAAGTCACACAGTTGTAATTCATTCATTCTACAATATCCTTTCATTTTATTTTCCCTGATTCCTGGCATAGATATACTCCACATTCAGGGATGCTGTGTTCATCCTTTACTTCTGAAAAATAGCTTCTGGAAGAAAGTGACTTGAGGTAGTAAATGACTTATGAACTAAACATGAGTTATATTTGAACTGAACCTATGATTTCCTGGATTCAGATTCTTTTTAATAGCTGGAGAAAATTCAATTAACCCAATCCTCAGAATTTAATTATATTCATTGTTTCAAACTGGCAGTCACTTTTATCCTTTCATTCATTAAACATTTGTTAAGTTCCTGTAATTGAATGTCTTCAGAAATCCAAAGAGAAATGCTATAGGAAATGCTTTGTCTTCCTTATAACTTTCAAGTTCATACAACTCAATGTTTTTCTAATCTCCTTTTGTTGGCTTATTGTCTCTCCTTAAGTTCATTACCATTGATGAAAGCAGATATCACTCTGGATCACATTTGAAGCTGTTATATATCCCAACTTCCCTATTAAAGTTTGTTAGACCTCAGTTTGTAAGGAATTGAATTTGACAACACCTTCACTCCAAATCTCAATGTCCAGATATTAGATTCAGCATATTAGAGTCAGAAAGAGATGGAGGGGTCAAGCAAATCATCTCATAAAAAAAGACATAAAAGTGATTTTTTTTTTAAAAAAAGAACTTGACCAATAGTACAATACTAATTACTGACAACAGAATAGATTAGGATACAGGCTTTATGGCATTTGTTCAATGTTCTATCTAAACTACTCCTGTGATATTATGTGGCCACTCATGCTAATTCTGCTACACTTATTATTGCTACTACTGCCAACATTATAATTTGCAACTGTACTTTAATATAAAAGAAATATTTTGTTATATTTTTGGTTTCTTCTAAGTACTACAGGTAATCATTTTTTAATCAGAAAAACTATTTCTTCTTATACTAAGATATTTCATGGAGAAAAACAGACAATTAAAACTAGAAGCCTGATGTCAGGAAAACAATCTTAGTTGGAAAATATTTTGATTGGAGGCTTAAGAAATGCTGAAAGTCAGCACATCATCAAACAGGCTCAAAAATATAGGCAATTCTTATTTTTTGATATCTGATTCTAATTTTTTCAAAAAATAACGAAAATGTTAAACAACTTATGTGAGTAATATTTATCATTTTTGATATTCCAAATATTTTACTTTTACTTTCAGATTTTTTTTTCTGTTATAGCACTGAACTCCAAGGGTGTGATCATTTCTTTTTCATTTTATCAATATGGTGGGAATTTCCAAAATGGAAGAGAAGAAATCATGTGTTATTATTTGGGGTAATATATGTTTCAGGAGAAAATGAATGATTATTTGAAATCCATAGGCCTGAATTTTGGGTCTGTTTCGACAAAGATCTTGATATAAGTCCCAAATAACTTTGTGTCTTAATGTGCTAATCTGTAAATTTTGAAAAATATAGTACATCTGCCTAAATCACAAGGTTGTCTGAAGGATAAATTGAAGTAATAAGAGCAGCCATAACCACAACAGATATTTACTAGCCATTCTTTGTCAGAGTTAAATTTTGTACTCACAAGCAAAGGCAGTAAATACATCCTCTCTCCTTCCCAAAATGTTTAATCAATTCAATAAAAGAGGATTTAATGAAATGGAGAACAATGCACTGATATGGGAGAGAAAAGAAGGAATTTGAATTAAACCTTGGCTCTGCCATAATAGCTGGTTAATTTCTGAAAATATATTTTATATCTTCAAATTTTAGTCTATTTATAAAACAGCAGTATTTACTGAGATTATAGTTTGTGCAACACTTCTGTCAGAGCTAAGATATTATGAGTCAATGCTAAGTGCTATGTGAAAGAAAGAAGAGGTATTCAAACATTTTGTGAAGTCTTTGGCAACTTTATTGCTGTGTGGTTCAAGCTAAAGGAAGAAAATTTAAGAACATAATAAAATAAAATTCTAATGGAGTGAATTTCTTGTTTGAATTAAGATTCATTATATATATTTATGTGTTGTATATATACATATAAATATATACTTGATTTTAACAATATACCTTTAAGAGTTTCAAGTATAATAAACCTTCATTTTTTCAATTCAAAACAATAGGTTTACATTAGTTAAAAATTAATGATTATGAATATGAAAGGATAATTCTCAAGAGCAACTAAAATGTAAGTGCTAAAAATGAAAAAAGAAAGGTTTTGTGTGGCTTTAATGTAGAATACAGAAAAGATAATGTGCTTCAAAATGAGGTATATGAAAGTCTAAACTTTTTGCAGCCTCCTTTTAAGTGTCAGCCACAAATGCAGAACACCATCAGTTGAAAATATGCGTTTTAACATTATTGACTTTTAGATAATTAAGGACAGTTCAAATGACATTCAGAATAGCAAATAAGAGACTGTATTTAATAATTTAATGTATATTCAAATGAACATTGTAAGAGTTACAAATTTATGCAGGGGCATATTTAATAGTTGAAGAAATTTTCATAGATTATTAGAATAATGTTAATTGTGCCATTATTAAGAGACTGATAACGTAACTGATGTGAATTCAGATTATATTCATTTACTTTAAAAAAATGTGTATAATGATCAAGAACTTAACTGGACTAACCATTTCTGAGTTCGAAGACTCTGCGTTACCCTCAACTGCTGAGCTAATCTTTAACCAACTTTCTAGGGAATAACGGGGTTGTTTATAACTTTCCAATCAGTATGGATATGACACTTACATAAATCCAAGTGTCTTTCATCTTTTCTCTTCATCCAGGTTAAACACAGGTTTTTTTTTTTAATTTGGACATGTGTGTTTATATGTTTTATGTGTCCCAGTGATACATGTTAATATTAAAATTATCAAGATGCAGTATGTTGAAATGACTGTGTCGTATCCGCATTTTAAAAATTATTTCCCTGCTCTTTTTCTAACACCATTTAATAGAAACATATGTTATAGAAAATTAACTGTAAAACATATTTCTTAAATATTTAAACACCAATGCTATCGTTCTATAGAATAAAAAAAAATTTTGAAGCCTGGAAAGTTAAATTTCTTGGCTCTTGTGAAATAACTTGATCTAATTGACATTTACTGAATACTCCATCCAACAATAGCAGAATACATATTTTTGTCAAGTACAAATGAAACTTTCACCAAGACAGGTCACATTCTGAGTCATAAAATAAACCTCAATATACTTAAATCATAAGCATCTTGTAAAGTAGGTTCAAGACCACATTGTAATTAAAATAGAAGTAAATAATGGAAATGAGGAAGAAAAATCCTATCCTGAAACAATTGGAATTTAAGTAGCACACTTCTAAATAACACATAGGTCTAAAAGTGACCCTCAAGAAACATTAAGAACAAATGCAGAAGTATTTCCTGTTCATGGATTGAAAGGATTATCAATATTATGATGTCAATTATTCCCAGCTTGATTTATAGATTCAAGGCAATCTCAACCTAAATCTCCTCAAGTGGTTTTATAAATATTGACAAAGTGATTTTAGTTTATATGGAAAGCCACAAGACCTAGATTTTCCAACATAATACTGATGAAAAACAGAGTTGGAGAATTGACATTACCGGATTTCAAGAGTCTACAGTAATGAAGAGTGTGGTATTAGCAAAAGAATAGACATATAGAGAAACAGAACTGGCAGTGCACACCTTAAGATTTACTATAAACCTATAAGAAACAAGAGAGCATAGGGTTGTAATAAAGATAGGAATATCAATAAATGAAGCAAAATACAGAGCCCAGAAGAAGACTCAAATACATATAGACAACTAATTTTTAACAAAGAAGCGAAGGTTTCCATGGAGAAAAAATAGAGATTCCCAGAAATGATGCTGGAAAAATCGGATTTCCAAAATAGACATTGTTAAAAGAATGACAAGCCACAATGGGGAGAAAATATTTGCAAAACACATATCTGATAAAAGACCTGTATCCAAAAATATGCAAAGAAAATGTAAAGCTCAGCAATAAGAAAACAAACAACCCATTTAAAACAATGAGTAAGCTATTGGAAAAGACATCTCACTAAGGAAGATATACAGATGGCAAGTAAGTGTATGAGAAGATTCTCTGCCTCATTTATTATTAGGGAATAGCCTATTTTAAAAAATTGAGAAACTACTGCAAACTTGTTGAAAGGCTATAACAATGGCTAAATAATTACAATTACTAACACCACAAAACCTTACAAAACCAAATTCTGGTAAGGATGAAGACCAACAGAGAAATTCGAGATGTTCGTTCATTGCTAGTGAGGATGTACAGTCACTTTGGAAAACAGATTGGCAATTTATTTTTTTAAATTTATTTTTTAATTGGCAGATAAGATTTTATGTATATATTGTATACAGCATATTGTTTGAAAAAATATATATATACACATTGTGAAATGACAAAATCTAGCTATTACCCAGATGCATTAACTAACATAGTAATTTCTTACAAAACTAAATATAATCTTACCATGCAATTCAATAATCACATTCCTAGGTATTTATTTAACTGGTTTTAAAATGTATGTCAACTCAGGAATCTGCACACACATGTTTATAGCAGCTTTATTTATCCTCGTCCCCAAACTAGAAGCAACAAGGATGTCCTTTAATAGGTACATGGATAATCTAACTACAAAAATCACGTAACATTATTCAGAGATTTGTAAAATGAAGTGTCAATCTGTGAAAACATATGAAGAAATTTTAATGCATATTGCTGAATAAAATACAATCTGAAAAGGCTGCATACCATATGATACACATTATATAACATTTTGGAAAAGGCAAATCTATAGAGAAAAAATAGATCAGCAGTTGTCAGGAGTTGGGTGGTGGGGTAGAGTATGAAGGTTGTGTCTGTGAAGCACAGAGGACACTTAGTGAGGTGACACTATTCTGTATGATAGAGTAACGGTAGGTACATAAAATGATGCATTTGTTAGAACCCATAGAACATTACAGCAAAAGAATGAATCTTAGTTTATGCAAATTTTAAAATTAGTGTAATGGTATTGATAGGGACAGGAGGCCAATAAATTCTAGGCAGAAAAATGTGGGTCCTCCGTGAAACCCCACGCTCAAGCTGAGAAGACTGAAACCGTGGCCCAAGGTGATAACTTATGTCTCTGTTTTCCTGCTTGAATGTCGCCTTTTCCTAAACCACCATGGCCCTGCCCCATCCCATCCTGTGCCTATAAAAACTCCAGACTCAACCAGTAGACAGGACTATGGCTGGATGTTGGAGAGAAGCGGCTTGACTTCAGAAGGACAGCTTGATGGCGTAACTTCAGAGAAGAATCCGTCCAGAGATGGCCAGACTTCAGGGGAAGATTACCTACCTGCCCCGTCCCCTTTTTACTTCCCCTTCCCACTGAAAGCCACATTCATTGGTAATAAAATGCCCCGCATTTACCATCCTTCAATTCGTTCATGCGACCTCATTTTTCCTGGAAGCCAGACAAGAACTCAGGTGCCACAAATGTGGATACAAAAGACTGTCACACTGGCCCTGTGCCCTCGCTGGTGGAAGGTAGGTGCCTCACGTGAAAAGGCAAAGGGCCCACTGAGCTGTTAACACTTAAGCCATTCGTGGATGGCAGAGCTAAAAGAGCACTTTAACATGCCTGCCTGGATGCTGCCATGGGGCCTGCATGGAGTTTGCTCCTGTGGCGGCTAAAGCATCTGGCAGTTCCTGCACCCACTCACCTGTGCACTCCCTCCTGCAAGGGGTGGAACCCAGCAGGTCTGAGTGAGTGGAGTTTGATCCCTCCCGCACAAAGCGGCCAGGCAGTTCCAGTGCTCCTTCACTCCAGTTCCCGCACTTGTTCGCTCACGTGTTTTCTCCTGGGAGGAGTTGAGAACGGCGGGCTGAGTAAAAGAGGCACCCCTGTCACAAGTTCCGCAAAGGGGTCAGGGAAATATCCTGTATCAGTAGTTATATAAAATGATTCATTTGTTAAAACCCACAGAACATTAAAGCAAAAAGAGTGAATCTTAGTTTCTGCAAATTTTAAGACTGGAAGGTTGGGGCATCTCTGAAAAGAATCCTGACTGTGATAAGAAATCTATCACTACTATAAAATGTGTGAAACAATTTCACTTAAGGAGTTAGAAGGAAACTGTGCTGACCTAAATCATTTTGAAAATTAGGAGAATTTGTAAGATGTAAGATGAAAGGAACTGCACAAACACAGTGTAATCTAATTTAGAAAACGTTTCAATGGGTTATGTGGCTTTGGGTTAGTAATTGTGATACTATACATGTGTACTGGAATTAAAAAAAAAAAGCATGTGGATTGTGAGAGCTGGTTCTCTTTATTTTGACCTCGAGGGTTATAGATAAGCAAGAAAATGAGACTAGAATGATCTATGTGTTAGTGGATTGAAGTTGGAGAAATGAGTATGTATTCATATTTAACTTCATGTAGTTACAGGGTCACACATAATGAAATATTATAAATATGTGTGGTGTATACATTGTTTAGTATACACATATATTTTCTTGCTCTGTCTAAAAGAAATGACAGCCCAGGAACAAAATCTACCTAACACTCAGATCTTGCCTTTGAATACCATTCTACAGTAAAAAAAAAGAACCAAGGCTACTTTGAAAAATATGCGATATGATCCTGGAAGGTCTTATAATACCAGAAAGTGGGGAAATGCTAAGAAGAACAAAGCAAAACAAACAAACAAACATGAAAACAGAGCTCACATACATGGGGCTATATTAGAGGGAATCAGGAATCAATTGGAAGAACTCCCAAATGCCAAAGCTGGAACAATTCAAGTGTAGTATTGAAAGGGGAAAAAAATAGAGCAAATTTACAGTGGTGAAACCTCATAAACATTACCTCAGAGAGGTGATCGAGATCAACATCAAAAGTGATAAATTATCATGTCAATATTTACTCTTGATATTATGTGAGGAAAATTGCGTTTTTACCTCTGTGGTCTTCCCAAAATCTATAACTCCAGTCTAATTATGAGAAATATATCAAACACATTTCAATAGATGGGCAACCTACAAAGTACCTGACTAGTGCTCCTCACAACTGCCAATGCCACAAAAAATAAGAAAGGCTACAGGTCCATCCATGCTTTCACAAATTACAGATTTTATTCTTTTTTATGGCTGAAATGTATTCCATTGTGTATGCATACCTCACTTTCTTATCCATGCATTCATTGATGAACACTGAAGTCAGTTCCATATATTGGCTATTATTAATAGTGCTGCAATAAACAGGGAGAGCAGATATCCCTTTGACCTACTTATTTCATTTCCTTTGGATATGTACCTAGTCATGTTAACTGAGTAAGGCAGACACAGATAGACAGATTTTGCATGATCTCACCCATTATGTGAAATCATAGGAGTAGAGAGTAGAATAATGGTTACCAGAGGCTGGCATGGGGCAGGGGTTGGAGGGGGTGGGATGGGGAGAGGTTGGTCAAAAGATACATAATTACAGTTTGATAGGAGGAATAAACTCTAGAGATCTGTTGTGCAGTGGGGTAACTATAGGTAATTATGACATATTGTTTTCTGGAAAAATGCAGAGAGAGTGGATGTTGAGTGCTGGCACGACAAAAATGATAACTGTGTGAAGTAATGCATTTGTTATTAACTAGAGGTAACCATTCCACAATGTATCTGTACCTCAATACATCAAAGTTGTACATGTTAAATACATACAATATTATCTGTTGAATTTTAAAAAATTAAAAAACAATGAAGTCACAATCAAAAATAGCCTAAGGGCAGTGACAATGAAATGTAATGTGGTAGCCTGCAAATGTTGCAACAGAAAAGCATATTACATAAAAACTAAAGGAATATCATTTAATTATCAACTTACTTACCAATAATGTATACATATTAATTTATTAATTATAACAAATGTACCATATGAATGCAAGATGTTAATAACAGGGGATACTGAGTGCCAGATATATGAGAATTTTCTGTACTATGTTCTCAATTTTTCTGTAACTCTGAAACTCTAAAAATTATGTTTTTTAAAAAAATGATGTAATATAAGCCCACATATTTCAGTCAAAATATGGAAAGTCTTTTAAAATTGCATAATAAGAAGACAAATAACCTAAAATACATACAAAACTTTGAGTAATACTTTACAAAATAGCATATCTACATATCCCGTAGGGTATAAAAAATTGCCAAGAATGGCCAGGCACGGTGGCTCACGCCTGTAATCCCAGCACTTTGAGAGGCCAAGGTGGGTGGATCACGAGGTCGGATCGAGACCATCCTGGCTAACATGGTGAAACCCCGTCTCTACTAAAAATACAAAAAATTAGCCGGGCGTGGTGGCAGGCGCCTGTAGTCCCAGCTACT
The DNA here is from genome assembly GCF_000001405.40 of Homo sapiens. Classification (NCBI taxonomy): domain Eukaryota; kingdom Metazoa; phylum Chordata; class Mammalia; order Primates; family Hominidae; genus Homo; species Homo sapiens. The sequence goes on along the minus strand of NC_000007.14, from coordinate 86,127,872 downwards.
TGGGAGGCTGAGGCAGGAGAATGGCATGAACCCGGGAGGCAGAGCTTGCAGTAAGCTGAGACTGCACCACCGCACTCCAGCCTGGGCGACAGAGTGAGACTCTGTCTCAAAAAAAAAAAAAAAAAAAAAAAAAAAAAAAATTGCCAAGATTATTAGACATCAGAAAAGTGAAAAAGCCATAAAGAAATATCATTCTACAACTAATACAATGACTAAAAAGTGAAAGTAAATATACTGGTTAAGGTGTACAGTGACTAGAACTGTCATATGGTGCAGGCAAGTGTTTAAAATTGTGCAGATATTTATGGAAAACTGCTAGTTCCTTATAAAATTAAAGCTACACTTTGACCAAGCAATTCAATGCTTGTGTACTTATCCAAGAGAAATAAGCACATAGCCCCGCAAAATGACTCATATAAAAATAGTCATTGAAGTTTTAATTATCGTTGCATAAAACTAAAAATACCTAAATATCCACTAACGAATCGATAAACAAATTGTGATGTATCTATAAAATAAAATTGAATGAGCTACCAGTCCATGCAATAGCAGGGACAAATCTTAGAGACCGTTTTATTGAGCTATAGAAGCCAAACACATAAAAAGTATACAACGTGAGATATCCTGTATATATAGTTCAAAAGTAGACCAAATGCTCTATAATAATAATTATAAGAATAGTATATGCTTCTGAGGATAAATTTTGACTGGAAAGAGGCATTAAGGAACTGTCTGGGTGTTAGGAATATCTGTATCCTGTTTGGGATGGTCATTACATGGGTACAAATCTTTGTCAATTTTCATCAAACTGTACACATAAATAGGTTTATTTTATTGTACCTAAATTAAATCACAATAAAAAGTATACAGTACCAAAATAGGCCGGGTGCGGTGGCTCATGCCTGTAATCCCAGTACTTTCGGAGGCCGAAGTGGGCGGATCACAAGGTCAGGAATTTGAGATCAGCATGGCCAGTATGGTGAAACCCCGTTTCTACTAAATACAAAAGTTAGCTGCGCATGGTGGTGGGCGCCTGTAGTCCCAGCTACTCGGGAAGTTGAGGCAGGAGAATCGCTTGAACCCGGGAGGCAGAGGTTGCAGTGACCCAAGATCACGCCAATGCCCTCCAGCCTGGGCGACAGAGCAAGACTCTGTCTCAAAAATAAATAAATAAATAAATAAATAAATAAATAAATAAAAACAATGCTAAAATAATTTTGTAATGTATATGAAATTTCATCTATAATTCCTTGTATTTTTTTTTTTTTTTGAGACGGAGTCTCGCTCTGTCACCCAGACTGCAGTGCAGTGGTGTGATCTCAGCTCACTGCAAGCTCTGCCTCCTGGATTCACGCCATTCTCTTGCCTCAGCCTCCGGAGTAGCTGGGAATACGGCGCCCGCCAGCACGCCCGGCTAATTTTTTTTTTTTTTTTTTTTTTTTTTTTTTTTTTTTTTTTTTAGTAGAGACGGGTTTTCACGGTGTCAGCCAGGATGGTCTCGATCTCCTGACCTTGTGATTAGCCCGCTTCGGCCTCCCAAAGTGCTGGGATTGCAGGCGTGAGCCACCACGCCCGGCCTCTTTGTATTTTTATCAAGAAGCAAAGCCTCAACATAATTATTAGAGTAGTCTCCTGTGAAGGAGATAAATACATATTATAAAATTACAGCCTGAAATATTAAAGTTAGTTAAAAGAATTGTTTTGTGTGTATGTGTTTCCTTGTTTCTTTGTTTGTTTGGTTGGTTTTATGTTTTGATTTTCTGAAAGATCAGAATAAGCAAGAATAGAAGTTGCACTTGAGTGATCACTTCTGAAATACTTCCAGATATCCAATTCCCTCATGATCCTGTTGGAACAGAGTAATACTAAAACCTAAAAGATAGAACAATTGCTACTACTTGGAAGGCTTAAATAATATCCTAAACTACATGCAGTAGTTGGCTGTGGGCATACATTTGTTTCAAGTCCACATTGAATATGTTTAACCTTCAATACGTTTCTGCCATTTCAGTACTAACTGTGAAATCACTTTTACCTAATATTAAGAACCACATAAAAAATATGTAGTTGTTTTGTTTTGTTCCATGTTAAACTTTTACCTTGGTACATTATTTTAATTTCACTTCATTTTCATATTCCACTTGGAATGGTATGTGTAATAGTCCATAGTGTGTTTTTTATTCCCTTTTGATATTATTTGCCATGATATGGAGATAACATCTGATCGTTTTGTTCCACTTGTACAGATAAGTCCATCCTCTCTGGTCAGTCCAGTAGCTAAGGACCAAATGCATGCATCATCATGATTAGAGAGTTGAAAAATAATAAGGATAATTGAAAAGATAATAAGAAGGATACATTATTTCCTTTAATGGAAATTTTTGTGGGCCATAGATAATAACATTGGTCAAATATTTCATACATCTCTCAGCTTTAGGCAACCAATATTAGGTTTTAATGAAGGCTTTGATATATGCACTCACATTTTTTTCTATATGCAAGGAATTATTAAGGGAATTTGAAGAATCCGTTTCCCTGAAAGCAGCCAGAGAAATAGCACAACACAAACATGAGTTAGCTCTGACTTTATTGATTCAGTATTCCATAGATGTATGCTCCATAGGATTTCTAGAATTCAGTAAAAATTACATTACACCAAAGTAAGAGGAAGAAGTAGGAAAACAAAACACTTAAACAAACAAACAAAAACAGTCAGCAGAATTAAGATATAATTGGAACTCCAGAAGGAAGACAATAGAGAATTTAAACAATTTAAAATGTTGGAAGTTAAAAACAAAACGATTAAAGAAGTTGAATGACATATCCAAAAAGCAGAGTGAAACCAAAATGGAAAACAAAAAAATTCCTGCACACATGGAAAAACACACAGACTCAAACACATACACCCAGATATATCAAAGACAAACTTATGAAACCAAACATAAAGAGAAAATGTCTAAGACAAGCATATTAAAAAAAACTGCATTATCTATAAGAGCATAAAGTTATGCAGTACAGAAGATTCATTATTAGACATAATGGAAGTCAGAAGTCATTGGACTGTCATCCTTCAAATAATGAAGGAAAAATCATTCAACGCTGAACATTATACCCAGAGAAAACATCTTTCAAAACTGAAAGTGAAGTACAGATTCTTCAGAGACACAAAAGCTAGAGAATCTATTACTTGCAGACTTGTACTAAAAATAATGTGAAAGAAAACTTCATAGACTAAAGGAACATAAAGCCAGACAGAATCTTGGATTTGGACAAAGATCATGACACTCTAGAAATGCTAAAAATGAAATTATATTTTTTCTAATATTTAATTGTTTTAAAGGATAATTTGCTTCCTAAAATTAAGTTGTAGCAGTATATCACAGACTTGTATGTAAAATATCTGCTTTCTGTCACGAAAGATTACTTAGCATAGTCTCATTTTATGCAAATAGAATTATTCAGTATGTATTCTTTTTTGCCTAGTTTCTTTCAATCAGCAACATTATTTTGAGACTCATTTACATGTATGTCAATATTACATGTTTTTATTGCTGAGTAATATTTCATTGAGTGAATACACCATAATTTATTCATTTATCTACTAATAAATAGTTGTGTTGTTTCCAGTCTCTTGTTCCTAGAGACTTTACAAATAAAGTCACTAAGAACATTTACGCAGAAGTCTTTGTATGAGCAGATACACAAGATTGTATTTCCCTGGACAAATAAATACCTAGGAGTACAATGTTGTCATCATATGGTAAGTTTACACTTAAAATTTTTAGAAAACTATCAAATGGTTTTCCAAAATGGATGTACCATTTTACATTGTTTACATACAAATTCCATTGGTACATTCTTTAGTTCTTCCACATCCTTGCCAACACTTGGTATAATCAGTTAATTTTTCTTTTTCCTTTTTGATTTATTTTATTTCAAGACAGGGACTCACTTTGTTGCCCAGGCTAGAGTGCAGTGGTGTAATCATAGCTCACTATAACCTTGAACTCCTGGGCTCAAGAAATCCTTCTGCCTTAGTCTCTTGAATAACTGGGACTACAGGTACCAGCCACCATGCCCAACTATTTTTAAATTTTTTTGTAGGAATGGGGTCTCTCTATGTTACCCAAGTGATCCTCCTGCCTTAACCTCCCCGAAATCTAGGATTATAGGTGTGAGTCACCATGCCTGTTCTCGGTTTCGTTTTTGATTTAGCTATTTCAGTAAGAATCTAGTGGTATCTTTTTGTGTTTCCTTACGGACTTTGAGCATCTTTTCATACATTTAATTGAAATCTTCTTTGAAATGTCTGTTCAAGTCTTTTGTACAAAAGTCCTTTATCAGCTATGTGATTTGCAAAAAATGTTATTTTTTATAGTAGTATTCTTGATGGTGTCTTCTAAAGAGTAGAAACTTTTTATTTTAATGATGTCTAATTTACCAAAATATTTTGTATGCAATGTGCTTTTGTTATCATATCTAAGAAATTTTTGCCAAATCCCGTGTCACAAATATTATCTCTTATGTTATTTCTTCTAGAAGTTTCATAATTTTAGGATTTACATTTATATGTATGATTCAATTTGAATTATTTTTATATATTGTACAATATATTTATCCAAGTTAATTTTTAATATAGGGGTATATATTTTTCAGTCCCATCTGTTGAAAAGGCTATTTGTTCCCTCCTGAGTATACTGTGCACGTCTGCCTAAAATCAGTTATCAATACACATGTCTAGTCCTAGATTCTTTATTTTGTTTTATCAATCTGTTCATCTGTCTTGTCTCCAGTTCCACACTTTCTTGATAATTGTAGCTTTATAATGAGTCATAAAACTAAGTTGTGTTTATCATGGTTTTGCAGATTTTTGGTCAGTCCAACTCCTTTACATTTCTATTTTAATTTTAAAACTGGCCTGTTAAACTCTATGGGAGAAAAATCTGCTCGGACTTTAAGATCGTATTACATGTACTGTTCAATTTGTAGAAAACTGACTTCTTAAATATATATATTTTTCAACCCATGTACAGAATATATCTCCCTTTTCATTAAGGTTATTTTAACAATATTATCCAACTTTTACTATACAATCTTACATATATTTTGTCAGATTTATTCCTATATTTTTATGCTATAATAAATCATTATTATTTCAACTTTTGGTTAGTCATTGATAGTATGTGGGATACAGTAATTTTTTGTAAATGATTTTGTAGACTAGACTCTCACTAAACTCCCTAATAATTCTAGCGTCTTATTTTAGGTTCCATTAAATTGTCTACATAGATGACCATATAATTTTCTCATGTCAAATAAGTTTTATTTCTTCCTTACCAATCTGGATGCCTTTTTTCCCTTGCTTTATTGCCCTGGCTAGAATCACCACTGGAATATTGAATATAAGTAGTTAAGAGCAAATATTCTTGCCTTGCTCCTTATCATATTCTTTCAGCTTTCAGTATGATATCAGCTGTAGGTTTTATATAGAATATCTTTATCAGGTTGAAAAAGTTTTCTTCAGTTCCTATTTGATGAATTTTTTTTCAGTGATAAATATTGATTTTTGTTACCTTTTCCACTCCTATTAAGACAATTATAACTTTTCTCATTAAATTTGTTAATGTGGTAAATTATACTACTTCTTTTTAATGTTTAGGCTATAATGTATTGGATAATTTGTTCTTAACAGCAATAACAAAAAAAAAAAGTATCATTCTCACTGTGAAAGAAGATTTCTTTCTGCATAACATTAGGAATTATATAGGGTTTGATTGTTAAAGAGGACTTACAGCACCCAAAATGTCAGTGCTCACTAATCTACAATTTATTTTAGGCAAAGGATACAATATAGCAACAGCATTAAAATAAAGGTGTGCATCTTAGTCAATGTTTGCATCACAGACACAAACTCGAATTTTTCTCCCTTTGTAAGAGCCATAATGGACATCATTTCTCTTTATTGTTTTTCTCTTTTTGTGGTTAATTCCCTACATTACTTTATTTATTTATTTTTGCTTTTAAGTCTTTTTTTTCTTCAACTTTTAAGTTCCAAGGTACATGTTCAGGATGTGCAAGTTTGTTACAAGGTAAACCTGTGCCATGGTGGTTTGCTACACAGAACAATTCACCACATAGGTATTAAGACCAGCATCCATTAGCTGTTATTCCTGATGCTCTCCCTCCCCCACACCTAACCAGCAGGCCCCAGTATGTGTTGTTCCTGCAGTGTGTGTTCTCACTGTTCAGCTCCCACGTTTAAGTGACAACATGCAATTTGGTTTTGGGTTAGTTTGCTGAGGTTGATGGCTCCCAGCTCCATCCATGTTCCTGCAAATGACATGACCTTGTTCCATTTTATGGCTGCATAGTATTCCATAGTATGTATGTACCACATTTGCTTTATCCAGTCTATCACTGATGGGCCTTTCAGTTGATTACATGTCTTTGCTATTGTGAATAGTGCTGTAATGAACATATGCATGCATGTATCTTTATACTAGAATGATGTATATATACCCAGTAATGGGATTGCTGCATCAAATGGTATTTATGGTTCTAGATCTTTGAGAAATTGCCATACTGTCTTCCACTATCATTGAACTAATTTACATTCCTACCAACAGTGTAAAAGTGTTCCTTTTTCTCCACATCCTCATCAGCATCTGCTGTTTCTTCACTTTTTCATAATTGTCATTGTGACTGGCATGAGATGGCATTTCATTATAGCTTTGATTTTCACCTCTCTAATGATCAGTGGTGTTGAGCTTTTTATCATATGTTTGTTGGCCAAATGAATGTCTTCTTTTGAAAAGTGTCTGTTCATGTCCTTTGCCCACTTTTTAATTGGGTTGTTTTTTCTTGTAAACTTGTTTACATTACTTTAAATTAACTATAAAACTATATTCTTTATCTACTTGGGATCTGTGGGAAATTTCTGTGTAGATAGCATATCCATTTCTTCATATAAGGAACTTTCTAACTGTAGGAAAGAACTACAGTAATTTTCTGCCTTTTTTTCATCCCAACACACTCATGGGAGATGTCATACTACCACTGATAGGCAAAGTTCATGCACCAGTCCAGTGACTCTCCATGTTTCTGAACAGGGACTTTCAATACGCTCTTCTTGTACCCACTTTCTACGAAGAATCCCTACCCTATAATTGAGAAATTTCCCTGAGCATGAGGAGTTCTGCAGACCAACTTTTCATTGAAACTGGTAACAATTATTTTTGAAAACAGAAATTTAAAGTATCTGGAGAAAGCCTTACCAGCATATAGCAAATGAAGAAACACTCATAGAAATCTACTAAAACTAAAAAATACATATGTTAGCAATATTTGAACCAAAATCTACATACTTCCTCCCCTCTCCCAGCTCAGTAATGTGGAGACTCACTCCAAACTGCTGCTGCTGAAAACACGGGGTTTCTTCTCCCTCCTGCTACCAGTCTGAGGGCTATTTTCCTGGGAGGAGTAGGGCATTGACATTTCTCATCTTTACCCCAGCTACCTGTTGCTGAGGCTAAGTGTTGGGTGAGTATCACCAAAAGGTATGGAAATAAAAAAAAAGATTAAAAATAAAAAATTAAAAATCTGACAGAAGGAAGAAAAAAATAATATATATTTGTAACTTATTCGTCTTCTTATTCATCATTCTCTGTCTCTTCATTTGTTCCTGTGGGTTTCAGTTACTATTTGGAGTCATTTCCTTTGCCCAATAAGCTTTTCTGCTCATCTACTTTCTTTGTGCTGTTGTTGGTAAATATATTAATTTTCTGCATGTTATAGGCCCAACAATATATTATGTATGTATTATTTTATACAATTGTGTTTTAAGTCAGTTAAAGAAGAAAGAACCAGAACTATACATCTCTAATGTCTTTTATAATTACATAGTTACTTTTCCCAGTGCTCTTTATTTCTAGTGTGGATTTGACTTATTGTCTGGGATCACTTGCTTTCAGCCTAAAATACTTCCTTTAATATTCCTTATAATGCAGGTTAGCTAGCAACATATTTTCTCAGGTTTTGTTTATTCTTTATTTTGCCTTCATATTTGAAAGGCAGTCTTGCGAATGTAAGATTCTTGGTAATTTGAACACTTTGTTATCCCACTGCCTTCAGGACTCCATTGATTCTGATAAGAATACAGCTGTTAACCTAACATCGGTTCCCTTATAAGTAATTTTTTTTTTTTTTTTTACTGCTTTCAGGATTTTTTCCTTGTCTTCAGCTTTCAGTATTTTTACTATTTGTGGGTCTCTCTGTGTTTATCCTACTTGGAGATCATTGAGTTTTCTGAATGTGTATATTAATATTTTTCAGCCATCATTATTATTATTATCATTATTATTTTGAGACAGGATCTGATTCTGTCACCCAGGCTGGAGTGCAGTGGTGCAATTATAGCTCACTGCAGCCTTGACCTCCAAGGCTCAAGCAATCCTCCCACCTCAGCCTCCTAAGTAGCTGGGATTACAGGCACATGCCACTATGCCCAGCTTATTTTTTTTCTTTTTTTTTTTAAATCATACTTTAAGTTCTAGGGTACACGTGGGTCTCGTTATGTTGCTCAGGCTGGTCGTGAACACCTGGCCTCAAGTAATCATCCTGCTTTGGCCTCCTAAAGTGGTGGGATAACAGGTGTGAGCCATAGAATCTGGCTTTTATTTTTTCAAATATCTTTTCTACATTTTCTTTCCTATCCTTCTTGTAGTCCCATTATACACATTTAGTATGATTAACGGCATTCCATATTCCTCTGATGTTCAATTCATTTTCTTTTTTTCCCCACCATTCTTCAGATTGCACAAATTCTATCAATACAGCTTGAAGCTTGCTCTTTCTTCTACCAGTTCAAATCCACTGCTGAGTCCCTCTAAGGTAATGTTAATTTCAGTTGTACTTATCAACTCCAGAATTTTCATTTGGTTCCTTTTTTTAAGAAATATAATTTCTATCTTTTAATTAATATTCACTATGATGCAAAATTGTCATCATTTCTTTCTCTGTTTTTTGTTTTGTTTTGTTTTGTTTTTTTAAGATGGAGTCTCACTCTGTCACCCAGGCTGGAGTGCAGTGGCACAATCTCGGCTCACTGCAATCTCTGCTTCCCAGTTCAAGTGATTCTTCTGCCTCAGACTCCCGAGTAGCTGGGACTGCAGGTGCACACCACCATGCCTGGTTAATTTTTGTATTTTTAGTAGAGATGGGGTTTCACTGTGTTGGCCAGGCTGGTCTCAAACTCCTGACCTCGTGATCTTCCCACCTCAGACTCCTAAAGTGCTGGGATTACAGGTGTGAGCTGCCGCACCCAGCCTCTTTCTCTGTTTTTTAGAGATAGAGTCTAACTCTGTCACCTAGGCTGGAGTGTAGTGGCACAATCATACAATCATAGCTCACAGTAACCTTGAACTCCTACGCTAAAGCAATCTTCCCACCTCAGCCTCTTGAGTAGATAGGACTACAAGTGCATGCCACTAAGCCCAGAACATTTTTGATTCTTTTTTTGACACAAGGTCTTGCTATGTTGCCCAGGCTGGTCTATAACCCTTGCCTCAAGCAATCCTCCTTCCTCAGCCTACCAAAGTGTTAGGATTAAAGGCATGAGCACCTGAACCAAGCACCAACTTTTATTTCTTTAAATGACGGGTTGATGGGTGCAGCAAACTGCCATGGCATATGTATACCTATGTAACAAACCTGCACATTCTGCATGTGTATCCTAGAACTTAAATTATAATAATAAAACAAAACAAAATAAGAATGGTTTCCTTTAGTTTTATGAGCATATTTATAATTGCTATTTTGAAATTTGTTTGTGTTAAATCTGACATTTGATCTCAGTCACAGTCAATGTTTGTGGCCTACTTCCAGCTCCCCCTCCCTGCCCTCTGCCATACACAGGTCATATTTTGCTGTGTCTTTGCATATATCTTTTTTGTGTTGTTAGAAACTTTATATTTTGGATAATATACTGTAGTAACTCTAAGTGCTAGTCTCTCCAAAGATTGTTATTATTATTTGTTTGTTTACTTATTTAATGACTGACTGTATTACTTCAGTAAAATCTATTTCTCTTCCTCATCTCATCCCTCTGGCAGTGTGAAGTCTCTGATGTTGCTCCTCGGGGTGTAATGTTAGATAGGCCCATAGTCACCTGCAATGATAGTGGTTTTGACTGGGCTTTCTTTGTTTTTCTTTTTCCTTGATCAAACATAATTTTCAACTTAATTAATTGCCAGCCGATTGCTCTGTTTCCAACAATGTCTCAGGCATAAATTGCTGCACAGCCAAATCCAATCAGATTTGGGCACTTTTGAAGGAGAAATTCTAAGGCCAGGTATTTGCAATTTAAGATGTCTCTTTTCCCATTTCTTTCTAGTAAACTAGCTGTCCTACAGCTTAGTCTATATGTCCAATGACCCCCACTCATCTTCAAATTGCCTTATATCACAACTTCCACTGTTTTTGAGAGCACTTTTAAGCTTGTACTCTTTCACATTCTGTTGTAAAGGAAGTCAATTTCTTTGGGAAGAGATTTGGAGCTCCATTGTATGACCTGCTTTTTTCCTCAGACAAAATCTGTCATCCAGTTTCTGGTGTTGGGGGCAGGGACAATGATGTGTTTTTCCCTGAGTGACATTCTTGCTTTAAAAGTTGTGCTTAGTGGCTGAGGAGAGTGGTAGCACCAGGTAGCCTCTTTTGGCATGGAATCCCAGTGTTACAAGCCAAGATAAACACAATTGGGGCACCAGTATTCTCACAGCAGCATCCCCAAGATAGGGCCTCTCTCGCATCAGTGGGGGCTGCTGGGCAGAAGGGAACCATCCCCTTTCTCTTTCTGATCACAAGCCAAACAGGTGGGCCAAGAACACAGAGGAAACAGGATCCCAAAATTGAAATCTGAGCTGGAGCTTCTTATATGCTGCTAGTTAAATGGACGGGCATATTTCTAGCTATGTGGAGAGTATCAGTGGCAGAGCTCCCCAGGATTCTCGCAAAGTATAAATCATTAACTTCATTGATATCAATAAACACTACTAAGAAGCTTGTACAAACCATCACAAAACTTGTCACAGACTCATTACATTGGTTAACACAATGGGCCTCTAACAAGTTTTGAGGGAAAAAAAAAGATCCAAAATTATTTCTCTGTTGTAAAACTCTCTTCATTATTAGTCATCGAAGTTAATCTGATTCATAATCATATATTTATTTAATAAATTTATATTTTTAGTTGTGATCCTCCAGAAGAACTTGAGACAAGGATATGAGTGTACATATTTTTGGGAGAATTTCAGCCAGCAAGGAGATGTGATGGAACAAAGTGAATGATTCATTAAATAAAGAAAATTATATTTCAGGTTGTAGTATATATTTTACATTCATGAACTACGGAGGCTCAATTCTACTAGCAGCTCTTGGGGAAATGGCTTCCAGTATTGTTTGCCTGATCTATGAAAGGCTGGGCCATTTATCTCCCTGCTGCTTTCTTCTACTGTCTGAGAGTTGCCTAAAGGGGCCTCAATCACCAAAACTTTTGGTAAGCATGTGGACAGAGGCCAATATAGTTATAATGGTATTGAAGAAGGCACTGGGGAAAAAGAGTGACAAGAAGCTCAGTATATGAATGGGGTCAGTGTCAGCACCAGGTGAGTCTGGTCTCACTAGAACTGTGTACTGCAGCACAGGCTACTGTCTGTGGTAAGAAGAGGTATCATAAAATACAAAATATATCTATTATTTCCTGTCTCTCTTATCTTCTGGACCTTGAGCCACACAGTCTGTGTGTGACTTAGAGCTCTGACTGTCTATTTTATTTTCAATGCCATAATGAATGCCTAATATTTCTCAGATGGATGGGAAAAAAAGACAGAAGGAAGGGAGCAGGGGAGAAGAGCAAGAAGAGAAAGCACAAGTCAAATGTCTATACAAAGTAACACATAAGTATCACAGGGCTGCAGAGGTGATAACAGTGGCAAAGATTGCAGGACCATAAAGCATGACAGAGACCAAAAAGAAAGTAGAATAATTGCCATTAAGATTCTCAAATTTAAAAGTCATCTACTTTACAGTTTTAATTCAAGTCTACTCAAGAGAATTAGTTACTATGATTCCAATATCAATTAGTAGCATCTTTCAAAATGAACTCTTTCATTTCTATTCACTTTTCTGGGACGTTTTAAAGCTGAGATAACTTGGAGAGAGATAAAAATGAGTTCATTTTTCTTTTTATGTATAGAAACCTTATCAATTTTTTTTTCTGACAACTGTCAGGTTTTTTGCTGCTTTGTCAAGCAAAGCGATAGTAGTCTTACAGCCCTTGGGAATGCAAATTTCAAGTCAGAAATTAACTTTTATAGCAATACAGAGTACACAAGATAAACAGATGGTTCTGTAGGCTCAAAGAAGTATTTTCATATATTTATTTATGATGCTTACACACACTTCATGTTTTGATAGATTAGTGACTGGAAGCTTCATTAAAGGAGACTGGCATGATGTGAAATTATCCGAATGAAAAGATGTTGCTGTTATGTCTGCATTAGGTCTAATTTTTTTAGTAGAGAATAAACAGATAATATTTTCCTTTAATAGTCTCATTGTAAATTTTGGGTTCGTGTTTAGAAAAGATACTTTTCTTTTGGAAATGATTGTAACTAAACATAAATAGAAGGGGAGAGAGAGCATTTCTATTAGATTGCTCTATTACAGAGTTCCTTTGATTTTTTTTTTAATTTTTTTGGAGCATTTTGTGAAAAATAAGAAAAGGAAATAATGATTTAATAATTACCTTAATAAAGGTTTGGTAGAATATGCATAATGAAATTAATAACAAACGGGAGTAAAGACAAGAATTAAACTAATAGGTAAATGTTAACATTAATTTTCTAGATAGTCCTTATTTAAAAGAGAAAATATATAATAGCCTATATGACTATAAAGTGAGAAAAACAGTGTTAAATATTACATTGAAATACCAGTTAAAGTTTCTAAAAATAAGATGATCTACATTGTTTACATTTATTTGTATGTGGCAAAACCTAAGTAATTCAGTGAAAATTTAGTATTGAAATAAATGAATTGAGTGATGAACAAACGAATGAATGAATGAAGAAACAATGAGTATACATCTAGTAAAAAAATACTGTTTGATTAACTTCAAGTATCTAAAATAATCCCCAAAACAGAGAAAGGAAAATTGTTGCCCCTAAAATGCCCTATTTTAAATAATGGATGAAATTCATTTAAAAAAAAACTTTTGTACTTTAAAAGAATTTAGACTCAACAGAAGAGTTGCAAAAATAACATTTAAAGTTCCCTCATATTTCATGTAGCTTATCCTAAAGTTAATATCCTACATACCCACTGCATAATACTCCAAACTAAAAAAATAACTACATAACTTATTCATGTTTCACCAGTATTTTCACTAATATCCTTTTTCAATTTCAGAATCCAATTTGGTTTCCCACATTGCACTTCATTGTTACTAACCTTTTTATCCCCCAATCTAAGACAGATCCTCAGTCTTTTCTTGTCTTTCTTGATCTTGACAAGTTTGAAAAGTACTGGTTAAGCATTTGGTAGACTATCTTTTAATTTGTGGTGTTTTACTATTCATAGTATAGTCAAAGAGTATAGTATTTTGGGGGAGAATGTTACAGAGATGATGTGTCTTAGTGCATCAGATCGGGTGTAACATAATATTTATATTATTACAAAGGGAAAAAATTAGTAATTTTGCAATGTCTGCCAGGGTTCTCCAATATAGTGTTATTTTGTTTTCATTTGTAATTATAAAATATATCAGGGGACATATTTTGAGAATGTGAAAATATTGTTTGTCTTTAAATTTTTGCTCATGAGTATTACCATAAATCTCTGGATCTTGCCTCCAGCAATTATTACTGTTGTACTAATAGTGTTTTTCTATTTCACTATTTCCATATTTGTTAATAGGGGTTATTCTGCAAGGAGGAATTGTTTCTCTCTTCTCCATTTTATGTATTTATTCAATCATTTATATCTCTATGGACTCATACATATTGTATTTGAGTTATAATCAAATGCTGTTTACTTTTGATACAGAAATTGTTCCTACTTTCACCATTGGGAATGTTTTCAGCTTGGTTGTTATATCTTTTTGGCATTCTTTTTTTTTTTTTTTTAAATTCTGTTAGCACATCATTACTTTCTGTCAGGGTAAGATGCTCTGAATTCCTCTTATATTTTCCTAATCTCACCCTTAGAAACAGCCGTCATTTGTCAATGAATTTGATATATATTTGAAAAAAGCTTGTTTTTATTATGTAAAATACATGTAACATAAAATTTAGCATTTTAATCACTTTTAGATTAATATTTTAGTGGCATTAAGTGCCTGTACATTATTGTGCAACCATCACTATTATTCATTTTTAGAATTTTTTATCTTAAACTGAAATTCTGTACCCATTTAATAATAATTCTCCCCTGGAAACCACCATTCTATTTTTGGTCTCTATGAATTTGACTTCTATAGTTACCGCATGTAAGTGAAATCATACAAATGTGTCTTTTGTGTCTAACTTATTTCACCTAAAATATCTTCAAGTTTTATCCAAGTTGTAGCATGTGTCAGAATTTTATTCAGGAAAGAGCCATTTTTAATATTTTTATGTAATTAGTGTTCTTATAAAATTTTACTTTCTTATGATATTAGAATATCACTTATTCATGATCATGAGATCACTATATTTTATATTAAAATATTATCTTAAATTTCTAGTGAAAGAAATGTTCTAACATTTATAAATCTATAATTTGCAAAGTGTGATAACTCCTTTAAAAATATGTTTGAAATGTCCACTTCCATTAGTGTACAGAAGTATGCAGGGAAATATTATCCCAACATTAAAAATGAGAACATTTGAGATATCTACAAACAGAATTATTTTAAACCTATCAGAACACTTAGGCTACAAATAACCTAATTACCCAAAATCCAAAATATGGATTTCTTTAAGAAAAGATGTAATTGTATTTTTTTCTCTTCATAGTGAAGTAAATATAGGAGAAATCATCATATACACATGTAAATAAAGCAGATTTTAAAAATTGACACAGATTTTGTATATTTACTTGTTATAATGTGATGTTTTGATCTGTGCATACACTGTAGAAAGATTAAATCAAGCTAATTAACATATGCATGACCTCACCAACTTATTGTTTCTGGCAAAAGCACTAAAATCTATTCTTTTAGCAACTGCAAAACATAACAATACATTGTTATTAATTGTGGTCATCAAGCAGTGCAATAGACCACTAAAATGTATACATCTAATCAAACTAAAACTTACACCCTTTGATCAACATGTCCCCATTCCTCCACCTGTATTTCAAATTATATGATCCTGCAATTCCCCTACTGGTTATATATCCAAAGGAATTGAAATCAGTATGTCAAAGAGATATCTGCATTCCCATGTTCATTTGCTACAATATGAAAGCAGCCTAAGTGTCCATCAATGAGTGAATGGAAAAAAAAAAAGTAGTATAAACACTCACACACAAACACACACACAACGGAATACTATACAACCTTCATAAACAAGGAAATTTTATCATTTGCAATGACATGAATGTTTCTGGAGGACATTATACCAGGAAAAATAAGCCAGGCACAGGAAGATAAATACTACATATTTTCACTTATATGTGGAATTTAAATAAGTTTACCTCATAGAAACAGAGTGTAGAAAGGTGATCACCAGACTGACTTTTAACACTTTTTTTTCAAGTTTAATTATGGACTGGGGTAGCAACTTAGATTCTTTAGGACTCCCAAACATATGGTAAAGAGTAAGTATGTATCCAATTGCTAACTTTTCCAAAGGCCATTGCTGAATGTTCACAAAAAAAAGATGAGAAATGGGCTATAAAAACTCATAAACAGAGCATGATGCCTTCTGAAACACTGGCATATCAGTCACTCTGTATTTCAGGGGTGGAGTGGAAGAACAAAGAATACAGTGAATCCTTCCTGCTTTCCAGGCACTATAATGAGTGTAAGGAAGTAAATATCTACTTTTGTGGGAAAGAAAAAATATCACAGATTGGTTTACAGTAACTGACCTATTTTTTATTATAGTTTAATGATGTGAGGTTTTTTTTGAGATCTTATGATTTAATACAATGCTAATGTCTTAATCTCAGTTAACATGCCTATAGAAAAGCCTAGTTGCTAGGAAACAAAGAACTAAGCCAAGATATGATTGTACTCAGTCATTGTGATGTATGCTAACTATTAACAATTAGAAATAGCCTGTTTAGTATAGGTCTTGCTAAGGAATTTTACTTTGATTGGCTCCTAAAATCATATGGAGGATGTTCATCCCTGCAACTTCTATTCCCTCAGTTTGATGAGATTTGGACCCAGCTCTGTAATGACAGGAGATCTTTTTTACATACTGTTCCTGTAAGAAAAAAAATAAAATTGCCCATAAGCATAGCTCTCTTCCCAGATGTGTTGCACAAGAGGAATATTTATTCTACTGTGTACCTCAATTACCTGCGTATGCAAATATAAATGTACAGTCAGTTAAGAATTAACTACTCTACATCATAAAACGAAGAGTGTGGAGAGAAAAGATTTAAGGGAGCAACACAGGTAGGTTTCGTAAGGATAGTTTAGGCTTTGTGCTACACAATATAACTGCATTCAAAACTCCAAAATAGTTCAGTAAATCTATTATAAATAAATGTTGTCTGTGAATAGCTTTTGACTGAGAGCAAAAAGGAGGCAATTTCAAAACCATGTGAGCCTCAGCATGAAACAGAAGAATGATGATACTTTAAAAATTCACCACCCAACAAGAGGAGACCCAAAGAATGAAAGTGCTGAAGAAATTATCCAAAATTTTGAGGGGAGGTATGAGCTTTTATAGGCCACAAAATTGGTTGAGGAGTTGAAGGAGACTTTATCTGGATATTGTGCGCAGAGAGGCCACCCCTTGTTTTCTAAGTTCTGTTTGTTTTTGAACTGAACTGGGCTCCATTTGCCCAGTGCTGTAAGACCAGATACCCACACCAAAGTTGGCAGCAGGAGAAAGGAAGCTGCTTATTGTCCGGGTGCCAAACAAGAAGGATCAGGCAGCTAAAGCTTAAGTCCTAACCTCCTCCAATGGCTTACAAGGAAGAATTTTAAAAGGCAGGTGTAAATTTCAGGAAAACAGAAGTTACAGGCAAAATTGTAGTTCAATACATGGAGATTACACATTGGTTTTGGCCTAAAAGGCTGAAATAACTTGGGCAGGGGACTAAAGGCCATAGAAAGAATCAAAACTTTTCTGATTTGCAATTGATTAAGGAAGAGAAGCTTTAAAAAGGAATTGGGGTCAGCAGAAAAGAATGTTAGCTCTGGCTCATGGTTGCAACTTTCCAGGACTGTAGGAAGGAAATTAGAACAATGAATGGTGGTAAAATTTCAGTTCCCCTTTGCTGGGGTCTATATTCCCACAGATCCATTTTGTTGGGGTCCAGTTTTCTGAAGAACACTCAGACATATGTTAAGATGTTGTATTTAGTTTATCTAGGGAACAAAATGTGATTGTTGCTACCTTGGCTAATTTTAAGCTACTATTGCCTTCTTGCTTATCAAGTTGCTTATTTTCCTCTCGGGGCTAGTGAGGTGCCTGGAATTTCTTTTGAAGGAACCCAAGATTTTTCTCTGGGCTAGTGAAGTGCCTGGAATTTATTTGAAGGAACTAATTCCTTTATTTCCAGGCTTGGGTAGGTGCCCACAGGCTCCTAAGAGGGGGATCCTGATATATCATGTGTTTGCTTTCAGAATCTCCCTTCCTTATACTAAAGAAAGTTGAGAATCCTACACTGCCCTCCAACATTGCCCTACTCCAACCACACAGTATTCTATTTCATCATATAAGTTTGTTTAAATGTCAATATGTAAAGTTTGGGTAATCAGCAAGATCACTGACCATGGATGCAGATCAAATTTGCTAATAAAATACCACCAATATTGGAATGAGGTTTAAGTGCAATGTGTAAGTGAAGGCCAAAATGTGAAGATTTTGTATTTAATAGCTTAGAGCCACAGATATATTCTGGAAATAAGTGTTTGAATTTAAAGATTTAGAGGATTAGATTTCAAGGGCCATTTACTTGACATGTAACTGGAGCCTGAATATTTAGTGGCAGTACTTTATCTCAGAAGAAAAAATAGATATGGGCTTGAGATAATTAAACTAATGATTAAAAGGAAAATATAGAAGCAATAAAAATCTTTATATTAATAATCTGAGCCAGAACAGAGTGAATCTATTCAGATACACTGAGTACATATAAAGTTTCTTCTTGTTTTTAATTGATGAATATTGTATGGCTTGACATACATTTAGTGTGCATTCTCTTAAGCATTGTAGAAAAAAATAAATAGAATTGATAAGTTAAACTAAGAACAATTTTTTTCTAACACAGCCAAAATACAAGAATTTTACCATCCTATTGGCAAGTGATACTATATATATATATATATATATATATATATATATATATATACTATACATATATATACTATACATATATATATATATAAAAGCAAAATAATCATAGTACCCTAAACCAGGCTTCTCTGTTTTCTTTTCTTGCAGACCCACTCTCATCAACATTTCTTTATTTGAAAACTTAAAACCTGCTTAGAAAAGAATAATCAAATATGAAAGTATATTAATGATCATTTAGCTCAGCAACCTCATTTTGTGACTACGGAAACTGACACTGGAGATTAAAAGGATATTCTAGTTAGTGATCCATAGTATAAGTTTGCCTATTCCCAATATGTTAGCCACTAATGCTGCTCAGATTAACCTCACCAAAAACGTCTTTATAATCTCAGATTCTTTCCCGTTAGAGTGTCAAAAATAATAAGTATTCTGAAGTATGTGTACATTAATGTTTTGGTAGTGGAAATGAGCAGCATACTACTAAATTTAATTTTTAACTTTTGGTTTGGTATATTAGTTTCTTCTCAGGCTGCTATTAAGAAATAACCAAGACTGGATAATTTATAAAGAAAAGGGGTTTAATTGACTCACAGTTCCACATGGCTAGAGAGGCCTCAGGAAACTACCATCATGGTTGAAGGCACCACCTCACAAGATGGAGGGAGAGAGAATGAGTGCAGAGCAAATGGGGAAGTCCGTTATAAAACCAACAGATCTCATGAGAACTCACTATCATGAGAACAGCATGGGGGAAAACTCCCCCATGATTCAAATATCTCCACCTGGTCCTGATCTTGAGACATGGGTATTATTATTATAATTCAGGATGAGATTTGCGTAAGGACACAGAGACAAACCATACCATTCAATCCCTGGCCCCTCCCAAATCTCATGTCCTCACATTTCAAAACACAATCATGCCTTCCCAACAGTCCTCCAAGACTTAACTCATTCCAACATTAACCCAAAAGCCATGTCCAAATTCTCATCTGAGACAAGGCAAGTCCCTTATGCCTATGAGCCTGCAAAATCAAAAGCAAGTTAGTTACTTCCTAGACAATGGGAGTACAGGCGTTGGGTAAATGCTGCCATTCCAAATGGGAGAAATTGGTCAAAACAAAGAGGCTACAGGTCCCATGCAAGTCCAAAATCCAATAGGGCAGTCATTAAACCTTAAATTTCCAAAATGATCTCCTTTGACTTCATGTCTTACATCCAGGGCATGCTGATTCACAAGGTGGTGTCCCATGGCTTTGGGTAGTTTTGTCCCTTTGACTTTGCAAGGTACAGCCCCATTCCCGGCTACTTTTGCAGGCTGGAGTGGGGTGCCTGTGTCTTTTCCAGGTGCACAATGCAAGCTGTTGGTGAATCTACGATTCTGGGATCTGGAGGATGGTAGCCTTTTTGTCACAGCTCCATTAGGCAGTGCCCTGAGGGGATTCTGTGTGGGTGCTCCAACCCCATATTTTTCTTCTGCACTGCCTTAGCAGAGGTTCTCCATGAGGGCTCCATCCCTGCAGCAAGCTTCTTCCTGGACTTCTGGGCATTTCCATACATCCTCTGAAATTTAGGGAGAAGTTCCCAAACCTCAATTTGTGACTTCTATACACCAATAGGCTCAAGACCACATGGAAGCTCACAAGGCTTAGGGCTTGCAACCTCTGAAGAAATGGCCTGCACTGTACTTTGGCCTGTTTTAGCCATGGCTAGAGCAGCTGCAATGCAGGGCACCAAGTCCCAGGCTGGACACAGCAGCAGGGCCCTAGACCTGGCCCACAAAACCAGTTTTTCCTCCTAGGACTCTAGGCCTTTGATAGGAGGGGTTACCTCAACAGGCTTTGACATGCCGTGGAGACATTTTCTCCATTGTCTTGGTGATTAACATTTGTTTCCATGTTACTTATGCAAATTTCTAAAGTGGGCTTGAATTTCACCCCAGAAAATTGGTTGTTCTTTTCTACTGCATTGTCTAGCTGCAAATTTTCCAAACTGTTATGTTCTGCTTGCTCTTGAATACTTTGTTGCTTAACAATTTCTTGCCGGAAAAAAATTGATGATACCCTAAATCATCCCTCTTAAGTTCAAAGTTCCACAGATCTCTAGTATGGGGCAAAATGCCACCAGTCTCTTTGCTAAAGCATAGCAAGAATCACATTTACCCCAGTACCCAAGAAGTTCTTTATCTTCATCTGAGACAACCTCAGTCTGGACTTCTTTATGCATATCACTATCAGCATTTTGGTCAAAGCCATTCAGCAAGTCTCCAGGAAGTTCTAAACTTTCCCACATCTTCCTGTCTTCTGACCCCTCCAAGTCCTTAGGAAGTTCCAAAGTTTTACACATATTTCGGTCTTGTTCTGAGCTCTCCAAACTGTTCCAACCTCTGCCTGATACCTAGTTCCAAAGTCGCTTCCAAATTTTTGGGTATCTTTATAGCAGTGCCTCAATCCTGGTACCAATTTGAAGTACTCACACTGCTATGAAGAAGTACCCAAGACTGGGTAACTTATTAAGGAAATAAGTTTAATTTAGTCACAGTTCCACATGGCTGAAGGGGCCTCAGGAAATTTACAATTACTGCACAAGACACCTCTTTATAAGGCAGCAGGAGAGAGAATGAGTGCCAAGTGAAGGGGGAAACTCCTTATAAAACTATCACATCTCAGGCAGTTGTGGTGGCTCACACCTCTATTCCCAGCACTTTGGGAGGCCGAGGCAGTTGGATCACAAGGTCAGGAGTTCAAGACCAGCCTGAGCAACATGGTGAAACCCTGTCTCTACTAAAATTACAAAATTAGCAGGATGTGGTGGTGCACACCTGTAATCCCAGCTACTCAGGAGGCTGAGGCAGGAGAATCGATTGAACCCAGGAGGTGGAGGTCACAGTGAGCTGATATCATGCCATTGCGCTCCAGCCTGGGAGACAGAGCAAGACTCTGTCTCAAAAAAAAAAAGAAAGAAAAAAGGTAAAAAACAAAAACAAAACAAAACTATCAAATCTCATGAGAACTCACTCACTATCAAAAGATCAGCATGTGGAAAACTGCCCCAATGATTCATTTATCTTCCCCTTGTCCTGCCTTTGACATATGGAGATTATTACAATTCAAGGTGATATTTTGGTGGGGACACAGAGCCAAACCATAACACTTGACATCAGTGTAAACTTGACAAATTGTGAGGATTCCATTTCAGATTTCTATTTATGAGGAATTTGGGAACATGTATACATAGCATTTTAACCTTACCAATAGCTGATTTCCCACTATCCAAGAACTGATTTATTAAAGATGAAGATAAAAAAAAGAGCTCACTATATTATTTTTATATTTTTATTGTATCTCTTACTAGATTACTAAAACAGTGGTCTGTTTAGTAAAACTTCTGTACAGTTTTTGACTTGGAAGCAATGCAATGGCCAACCTCCTTCCATCTTCCCCACTACAAAAACAAAAAACAAACATATATGTATGAAGTAATTTAAAGAAAATAATAATCTTCTGTAGCCTACTAGTATTTTTTTTCTTCCTCTGACTTTGCTACATAGAGATGGGTAGACGAATAAATGGAGAGAGATACACATTGCTCTTTAAGATAGCAATTTCATAATAAATTGCTAATTTAGCAAGGCAGAAGATGTGACACATAACCAAAAGGAGGATCTGCATATTTATCTTTGTCATGATTACAATTACAGTGATGTTTAGTTGGGAATACCTAATTTATCAATGTGTCTATTGCTACACCTGAAAGTATATCATTAGTCTGTGATTTTTCTGGATATTCCCTGAAATCTGAAGCAACATGCCTTGGCAAGCTAAATAATTGCCTAATTCCTTAGTCATAATACATTTTTGTTTGTGATAAAGTCCTAGTTTACAAAAAATAGCAAATTGAAATTAAAACCTTCAGCCCTAAAATATGTATTCTTTTTTTTTTTTTTTTTTTTTTTGGAGATGGAGTCTCGCTCTGTCGCCCAGGCTGCAGTGCAGTGCCACAATCTCTGCTCACTGCAAGCTCCGCCTCCTGGGTTCAGGGCATTCTCCTGCCTCAGCCTCCCAAGTAGCTGGGAGCCCGCCACCATGCCCAGCTAATTTTTTGTATTTTTAGTAGAGTTGGGGTTTCACCGTGTTAGCCAGGACGGTCTTAACAAATGAAAATATTTTATAAATATTAAGATTAGTTAATAACCTAAGCTCTTTATATATTATGTGCTATAAGTAAAAATATATACATATATAGACATATATGTACATATGTAATTGTTATATATATGTGTATATAATATGTAATATATATGTATTATATATGTATATGCTATAATATGCAGGTGTTTGGTTTCTTTTATTATATATTATTTTATATAGTATAAATCTATTTTTTCCAGCTGGGTAAAGAGATATGTGGAACTGTAAATAAACCAACGTGTTGGGGCGAGATTGGAAATAAACCTGTGCTTTGTAGGTGAGAAGTAGCAAAATGTTGAATTAGCCAAATGAACCATAATAGATATGAAATATACAGAATTAGCCTCTCACCTTCTGGGAGATGAAACTTCTTAATGAACAGTCTGATGCCAAGTAAGCATCATGATAAAATAGTAAACTGGGCCAAACACTCTTTATATTAACTTAATAAACTTGGAAGGGAAGTGGATTGGTTGTTCCAGAACAGAGTAAATGCCATTGTCTTGGGAAGTGTTGGTGACATTACAAATAGGGACATTATAAAATAATAAGTCCCTTTATTATTTAAGTACAAAAAGCCTCATGAGCCAAAATTTTGTATTAATATGGAAGACTCAACCAACTATTTTTTTCACCATAAAATTAAGTTGAAAATCACTTGGACTTTCCCAACTCAGAATCTCTGAGTTAGTGTTCCTATTTCTTGAGCCTGATATAGAAACCTAAGTATTTCTACATGTCAATAAGATTTAAATGACTATAGGATAATGAACAAATAAATCCACAGGATGTAATAACAGTAGCAGCTGTAGTAACTTTAATCAAACTTTTATAATTAGTTTTTTTCAGGTGTTTTAAATAGCCAAGAGTTTAAATATATTGTGATCATTATTTTGGATAAATTTAATTAAGTTTTAAATAATGTTTGATGAAGAATTCTTGATTGGAGAAATGTATTGATTTTGGTTTTTTTGTTATAAAATTTATAGTTAAATATTGAAAACAATATTTTATTAATTTAGCACTGAGCATTAGACAAACTATGAATTATAAATTTCTCTATATACACAAAGTCCTTTGAGCATTAAAGTACTGAATGTTGACCTGCATATGGATGAGAGGAGTTTATCTAAGGCTGGGGAAAAAAACACACAGGAAGTAGCAGGATAAGCAATGCCTGGAACTCATAAAAAGCTGGGAAAGATCTTATTCCTACTGGACAAATTATAAAGGCCCCAGAATCATCTTTCCTCAGTAGTTGGGCCAAATTAGTCCTTGACTTCTGGTGGCTCTTAAAATTCCCTAAGAAAACAAACAAAATAAACTCAGAAGCTTTAAACTGATTCCAAGTAAAACACTGAAATTCAGAACAAAGGCCATCACTGTTTCAAAGAATAAAACAAAATTCAGCACCTCACAAGTTAAAATTCATACATATGGCATTTAATAAAATTTTTCTGATAATATAAATAAAAAGAGAAATACAGCTCTTACCAGAATAAAAATCAATAAAAAAGATCAATAATTGACAGAGATAGTAAATTTGGCAAATAAGGACCTCAGAACAGCTATTATAAATATCCTCTATTTGTTGAAGATGGAAGAGGGAAATGTGAACATGATCGGGTTAGAATTAGAAGACATGTGAAAGACTTAAGTAGAGCTTGTATCAATAAAAAAGAAAATATCTGCAATAGAAATGCATTAGAATATGTTAAAATAAAATAAGAAAAGTGAACTATCTAAAATGAGGAAAAAGAGAAAAAAACAACTTAATAAAGAAGAGAGTATTTGTATGCATATAATTGGAATCACAGAAGGGGAAACAGAAAAAAATTATCGAAGAATAATGACTGAATATTTTATAATTTCAATGAAAATTATAGATTCATTTATCCAAGTAGTTCAACAAACTCCAGCATGAGATTAAAACAAGCACTTCACCAAGAAAAAAATAAGGATAGGAAATAAACAAATGAAATACATGTTCAGCATAATTATTAATTAGAAAAACACAAGTTAAAATTACAAGGAGATACAACTACTATACATTCATTAGAATGACTAATTGGCTAAATTTTAATAGTCTGACAATGACAACTGTTGACAAGAATGTGAACTATTGGATTTCAGATATTTTTGGTGGTAGTGCAAAATGACTCT
Source organism: Homo sapiens (assembly GCF_000001405.40). Classification (NCBI taxonomy): domain Eukaryota; kingdom Metazoa; phylum Chordata; class Mammalia; order Primates; family Hominidae; genus Homo; species Homo sapiens. The sequence goes on along the minus strand of NC_000007.14, from coordinate 86,103,007 downwards.
GTTACCTTGTAAAACAGTGTACATTTTTAGCAATATACATTTAGACATTCATTTTCCATTTGTTGCAGGAATCTCACTGCTAGGTATTTTCCAAGAGAAATAAAGTTATATGTCTGCACAACAGTTTGTACTCCAATGCTTACAGAAGTTTTACTCATAATAGCTAGGAACATGAAACAACCCAAATGCCTATCAACTGAAAAAGGATAAACACATTGTGATATATCAATGCAATGGATAGTATTCAGCAATAAAAAACCAAATTGCTGATATACTCTACAACATGGGTGATGCTTAAATTAGTTATTCTAAGTGAAATCACCCAAACACAAACTAATACATACTGTAATTTTATAACAAACAGAAATATAGTGACAGAAACAGATCAGCATTTCCCGAGGATTGAGCATGGAGTTCAGCAGTTGACTGCGATAAGGCACAGGAAAATATAGGGTTAATGAAGACGTTTTATCATGATTGTAGTGGTGTTTACATAACTCAATAAATATGTTAAATCTCATCAAATCACACATTTAAAATTAGTTATATCATTGCATATAAGTTCATCTCAAAAAACTTGATTTTTTCAATTATAAAATATTAAATATACCATTTATGTCAAGTGATCACACAGTTCTAAGCAGCTGTGCAGTAACAGGTGCTAGGTTGGTTTGTCACATGTCCATAGATTGTAGAATAAAGAGACAAGCAGACCAAATGGATTTAAACAGCTTACTACTTACAGTGATTGTAACATTCTGACACTTGCTTCTTTATCCCCACTCACAAGGCGACATAATGAGAGCCAGGTAAAGCCTGCATGCATTGGAAATCATCTCTAATCTTATGTAGGGGTGGCTGGTGAACTTGTCCATTTTCCCCTTCACAAAGAGACATTATCTTTATCACCTTGGATCATAAGCAAATCTCTCTGAGGAGGCAAGGAAGTTGTCTCTATCTTTATGACCCTGGAATGTCTCTGAAGAGAGACATATCTATGTAGTATTCTGGAATGGAAATATATCTGAGAAAATTTGCTGCTAAAGTTTTCATATGAAGAGATTCAAGAAAAATTGTCTTCCAAATATTCCTTTTTTGACATTTGGGTGTCACTTTATATCATTCTATGATTACATTATTGATATTGTATGTTTGATATTTATGCCCTCACACAAGTGGCGTTCTTTGGTTTAATAGAAGATATGAAAAAAAAATTGGGTTTAGTAGATTTCTAGGTAGCTAGTATGTGTCTTTTTTTAATTAGATGTTACACTACGTAATTAACAGAGGCACTGCCTACCTCTGTGGGACATGTTGACCAGTAGGTTTCTACTACATTTCTATAAAGAGAAGTGTCATTTAGGCCGGCAACCAACCACTCCAAAGTCCTACAAGATTAAAAAAGAGCTTTATTTACAGACATTATTACTGAATTTTGTAGCTTTAGTTTTTTTGATCGAATGACCAATACAATTACAAACATTGTGTCATACAAAATTTTGATAATAATGCCCTCTCTTTCATCTGAACATTTATGACAGTGATAAGTTAACAAACCATTAATCAAACTAATTGGATAGAACAGGAAACCAAGATGTAGCTATGGTCCAGTTCATGTTTTTTTTTATTTTTGTCTATAGTCTTTTGTTTCCTAGTTGGTTTGCTGAAATATAGTTTCTCTGGTACAGTGATGATATATCAATCTTTTGATCTACTTAAAATGGACAATTGTTTAGTTTACTGATTCCTTAGTATTAAATGTGCCAACATATTTTTCTCCACATTTTTGATACTTTATTTTTCTTTGTGATTCTTTAAAAGTGTAAAATTAACTCAATTATATGAAGACAATGAAAACTGTATTAACAAGTCACCCATATCTGCTGTAGCTACTGATGTTAAATTCTGAAACCGAACCCCAGTTGTCTGAATTTTAGTCTTGAAAATTTTATGCTGAGTAGGTCAGTATTAATTATTTGTACTATTTTATTTAAGGTATTTCTACAGTGAGATTAATGAGTGTTTTAATTTTCTAATGTTATATTTATATTTTCAATCTCAGTGACATTAAGGGAGCTCATTGCTTTTAATGATGTGAGCAAAATTAATTAAACAATCTATATTAATCTGACAGAGACTGTAACCTCATTATGAAAATGCCATGATGTAAATATGGCAAAATGTGAAGTGACGAGAATCAAAGGATGGACATGTTTATTAACCCACCTTTCAAGGTTGATTTTAGGCTAAACAAGGCATGACTCTACTAGGGTCAAGAAGAATAAGCATCCTATTTGAAAATTGTATTGAAGCTAACTTACAAAGTTATACTCTGATGTATCACTTTGGACATTTAAAAGAACTTTCAGATTATCACAAAATCTAGAGAACCTCATAGCTTCCTATGCCAGTATTCTACAGTCTGTTTCTTAAGTTCCAGGCACAGTTAATATTACGAGTTCTATGAAGATGAATAAGAGGAGACACTTGTTACTGACACTCAGCTAAAAATATTGATGAATTTCTAAGAAAACAAAGATAAGAAATATCATGCTGGTAATATGACTTCATAAAGTACAATAAGAAAGACTTAGATCACAATATTGGGCACTATTTGAAAATGTTTATACATTTGTCACTGCATATTATGTCTTTTATAGAATTATCTAGGCTCACTTCTAGCCCAGAAAAATTAAATATTTTATTTCATCAACCTTTAACAGTATGTAGGCTAACATGCTTATGTGTTATTTTTCATCTCTCAATAGGCATGTACATCCATTTAGTTGACTAAGTACTTCGAAATACACTTAAAATGCTTCTTTAATCTAGGATATAATTATGATGATGACAATAATGACAATAATTTTACTGTTTTGGCATCCATCTTACACATGGACTGTTTTTTATCTTTGGCATGTTTCTCAAAAATAAAGTCCAATTAATATTATTTTTTAACGACTTTTAACCATTCAATTAATCTATGTGATTCTGTGTTAATATCTCTGTATAGTAATATGGTAACAATAATGATGGTAACAGATATCAATGCTTATTATGTACTAAAGCTTAAGATCTTCATATATATTTACTCATTTAATATTCACCATAACTTAGTGCAATAGATACTATTATGTTTATTCTTATTTTAGAGATGAGGAAGTTAAAGTCCATACAAGACAATTAATTTGCCTAAAGCATAATGGCTTTCAACTGGTGCTGTTAGGGTTTGAAATAAGACTTGCACAATCACTATTATATGTACACACATATTATCCACTCACATTATGAGAGACATTAGAACTGATATTAGCAGAAAGAAAAAGTGATTTGCATTTCTCATCAGATGTTTACTCTGAGATATATGCTCATTAAAGATAATGGCATGCATGGCTCTCTGTCTGTTGTGTGAGTACAGTTATATTGCAGTTAAATTCGTGCATTCCCAATGTGCAAAGTACTATGTGTACTTACTGCATTAAATGCTTTACATCTATTATATCTAAGCCTCATAACAACTCCAGTGTCATAGAGAAAATATTACAAAATAATGTACTACTAATAAAATAACACAGTGTTTTTCTTTTCTAAAACAAATGAGGTCAAGGAATGCTCAATAACATTTTCTATGTCTTACCTAGAGCTACTTCTCTGGATATACATGAGAATGTACACAACAAACAACTAAATCTGATTATATTGCCTATGGTCACATAGGCCATGTCATAGATATCATTCCTTATCCTAAGAGTAATAAAAAATATTAAGAATTTAAGCTAGATGGATGACATAATCAGGATACATTTTCAAAATAGCACTTAAGCCCTTTAGTGAAGAACAAATTGGAAAGACATCAGTGTGCATGTGATGAGCCTTATATATTGACAATCTCAGTGTTACGGGGTGAGGTAGTGGTAATGTGGACAAGGGAGGAGGCAACTGTGAAAAAATGAGGAAATTGAAGATACTTAGGACCTACTGATCGGTTGTATATATGTGTGTCTTTGTACTTGCACAATTTGTGAAAAAAAAATTTCAAAAATGATGTCACAGTGTCTTCTTTATACAACTTCTTGGATATGGGAAATATATATTTAAATACAGCACCTGAAAGGATACTGAGATTGAAGTAATTGGTTAAAACTTAAACATGTTGATTCTCAATTATCTTTGAGACATCTACTTGGAAATACAAAGTAGCTGTTGAATATCGGGTACATAGATCTCAAGGGATGTAAGATTAGGGGTGGTAAGCATATTTATATAAATACTAACCTAAACCACAAAAATTAATAGTATCACCCAGAAAGAGGGTGTGAAAATAGAGGACCCAAGGTCAAGCTATGAGGTGCATCACCATCTGTAACAGAATCGAGTATTAAGACGAACCAGAAAAGGATAATGAGGAGTGGCTAATAGAATCGGAGAACAACCAGGAGTGATTACGTTTGTTAAAATCTAAGAAAGATAGAGATTGCATGCAGGGAAGAAATGGTCAAATGGCTAATTTAAAGCTTAAAAACATGATATTTTATTTTGAATAATGAGAGCTGTTTTTCTGGAATAATGCTACCATAATCTAATTTTTTGGATAGAAAAGTGACTGAGATAACATTGAGAGTAAACAGTGAATAGTATCTTTTCTAAACATTTGACTTAGACTAAGAAAAGAACTATGATTCACTGGAATGGAGGGTTAGGTGTGAAGTTCTTTTTCTTTTTCTTTTTTTTTTTTCTTTTGAGACAGTCTCGCTCTGTCGTCAGGCTGGAGTGTAGTGGCGTGATCTTGGCTCACTGCAACCTCTTACTCCTGGGTTCAAGCGACTCTCCTGCCTCAGCCTTCCAAGTAGCTAATACTACAGGCCGCCACACCTGGCTAATTTTTGTATTTTTAGTAGAGATGGGGTTTCACCATGTTGTCCAGGATGGTCTCGATCTTTTGACCTCATGATATGCCTGCCTCGGCCTCCCAAAGTGGTGGAATTACAGGCGTGAGCCACCAAGCCCAGCCATGATAATATTTTTAAATAGTTCTACAACATTGTTAAATTATACATTTATGTATGATAAAATGTAAAGAGCCTCTCCCCACCATAGTCTATTACATGTCACACTTGTTTACTAAACATCCATGAGAGCCCAAAATAGGACAGAAAATTTGTCAAATTTGAATGTAGAAACATTCAAACATATTTTTTTCTGCTAGTAGAATACTGATGCATAAAGAAAGAGAGGAATAGATTAAAAAAGGAATGATAAAAAGGTTGCTAAAAAGCTGAGACATAATCAAAAGTGCTCAATCCAGGTGGACATCAGTGAAAGTGGTCGAATAGGTAGGGTCAAGGGCATGGCTCTCAAAAGAAACACTGCATAGTTGAGCAAATGGGTCAGAACCAATTTTTATCAGAAATAGAAAATATTCAAATATTTATAGCAACAAAGCAAAGACTACACCAGGATAAAGGCAACTTAAAAATGGTTTAGAAGCTTTGCAGTATTTTACCTTGACTTTGCCTCACTTCCTCCCTAGTTCAGTGGCAGTCTGAAAGCGGCAGCAGCCCACATTTCCAGCTTGGCCACTGGACTTGTTGGTTCCAAAGATAGAGCAGATCTTATTATCAAAGAATTATGTTTGTATGTTTTGACTTGTCTAGGCCTACCTAAAGCAGTCATACAAGTTAACTGACATTGTTTTACCTACCTTGGAATTTTTCAGGATGGAAAAGTGGCTATGCAAAGGAAATTCCTCAAAAAATGTTGTAAGGTAAATGAACAAACTTCTGCCATACAGGGCAGAAGTTTACAGTTGAGGAAAATAATAAGTGTGCCAAAAGTCTGAGAGGATTAGCTGGAGACAAAGTTTCTTTAGAAAATTAGAACATTTAAGTCAGCCTCCTACCTATACCGGAGCATTTAGAAATTAATGCATGTGCTTAAGCCAAGATGCACACTCAGAAGACCAGAGAAGTCTCTTAAGTTTTCACCTCTGGCTAATTGTTAGGTTAAGTGAAACCTGGGAGGAGAAGATAGTGTTGTAAATGGTCAGGCTAAGCATTTAAGGAGTACCTCAACATAGAGCCAATCTGCAAATATAGAGAAAGTTTTTATCTCGTTTATTTTATTTTATTTCTCTTTCTCTTTGTTTTCTTTTCTCTTTCCTTTTGACTACAGATGTTACAGAAAATTTCTGTCAAAGCGCTAGCTGAATACAACCTGACAAAGAGTATAGACATTATAAAAGTAGTTTCAAATAGTCACTAAACAAACAAAAACTATAACCCACATCAGGCAACAAAAACAAACATTCAAGAGAAAAAAAATACAATTTCCTTAGTTTCCCTAGCATAATGTTCCAAATTTTTAGCATTAAATAAAATGAAGCATGCAAAATAAACAAAACAAAATAAAACAAGAAAGTAGGGCTTAATTGTAGGAGAAATGAATAGAAATTATTTCAGAGTAAGACACTAGACTTACTAGACAAAGATTTTAAACAACTGTTTTAAATATGCCTAAAGACATATAGAAAAACATGAAAAAAGAATCAAAATAAACCGTGAGAATAATGGCCAAGCAAATAGAGAATATCAATAAAGAGATATGAATTATAAAATAAACCAAAACAATTCCAGAGATGCAAAGTACAATAACTGAAAGGAAAAGTTTACTTTAGGGTCTAAGTGGGTTACTTGAACAAGTATAAAAAATAATCAGTAAACTTACAGATAGGTCAGTTGAAATTATCTAGCATGAGGAGGAGAAAGAAAAAAGAATGAAGAAAAAAACATTGTTTAAGACATCTATGGGATACCATAAAGAGTGCCAAATACACATAACAGAAGTCCCAGAGCCCAGGAGATAGTGAAAGAGGCAGAACAATATTTGGAGTAATAGTGGCTGAAAAGGTTCCAAATTGTATTAAAAATATGAATGTACAAACACAAAAAGTTCAATGAATTCCAAGACCAAGACAAAAAGATCAAAATTATTATAATCAAACAGATACATGCCAAAGACAGAAAGACTATCTTACAAGTAGCAAGATAAAACTATTCATCTGCAAGAGATCCTTAAAGAGATTAATGGCTAAGTTTTAGCAGAAATCATCAAGGCCAAAGGCAATGGGCATGTATTTAAAGTGATGAAAGAAGAAAAATTGTACACAAATAGTTCTATATTTTACAAAATTTTCTCCAAAATTGAAGAAAAAATTAAGACACTACAAGTAAACAAAAACTGAGGAAATTTGTCACGAGTAGACCTGCTTTATAAGACATGTTAAAAGGAACCTTATAGGAATACATTAAAGACACTAGACTATAACTTGAAGACAAATGAAGAAATAAGTAACACTAGTAAAGCTAATTAATAGGTAAATAAGAAAGCCAATATTACTGTATTTTTGGTTTTTAACTTCTCTTTTTTTCCTATAGTATTTTAACAACAAATGCAGAAAAGAGTACTTAGAAATCTATGTTAATGGGCACACAATGTATAAAGGTTTAATTTTTGCAAACAATATAAAGGGAAAGGGAAGGAAGTTTACAGAAGCCAAATTTGTGTATACTCTAAAGATAAGATGATATTAATTCAAGATAGTTTGTTTTTAACTTTAAAGGCCAAAAGTAGCCCATAAGGTAACAGCTAAGAAAATAACTAAGATGTACAGAAAATAAAACAAAAAAGTAACCAAAATGGAACACTACAAAAAATGAGTAAAAATAAGAAGGCCTTATATAATGGAGGAATTGAATTATCACAAAGATAAAAAACAAAGAAATGACAGAAGTGAGTTCTTTTTTATGTAACTTTTATTTTAAGTTAAGGGGTACATGTGCAGGTTTGTTATACAGGTAAACTTGTGTTATAGGGTTTGTTGTACAGACTATTTCATCAGTCAGGTATTAAGCCTAATGCCCATTAGTTATTTTTCCTGATCCTCTTGCTCCTCCCACTCTTCACCCTCTGACAGGCCCCAGTGTGTGTTGTTCCCCCTCTATTTGTCCATGTGTTCTCATTTAGCTACCACTTATAACTGAGAACATGTGATATTTGGTTTTCTGTTCCTGCATTAGTTTGCCAAGGATAATGGCCTACAGCTGCATCCATGTCCCTGCAAAGGACATGACTTAATTCCTCTCATGGCTGCATAGTATTCCATAGTGTGTATGTTCCAAATTTTCTTTTTCCAGTCTCTTATTGATGAGAATTTAGGTTGATTCTGTGTCTTTGCTATTGTGAATAGTGCTTCAATAAACATACGTGTTCATGTGTCTTTATGATGGAATGATTTATATTCCTTTGGGTATATGCCCAGCAATGGGATTGCTGGATTGAATGGTATTTCTGTCTTTTTCTTTAAGGAATTGTCACACTGTCTCCACAACAGTTGAACTAGTTTACACTCCTACCAACAGTGCATAAGTGTTCCTTTTTCTCCACAACATTGTCAGCATCTCTTCTTTTGTTTGACTTTTTAATAGTATTTAACTGGTATGATGTCATGAGATGCTGTCTCATTGTGGTTTTGACTTTCATTTCTCTAATCAACAGTGATGTTAGGCTTTTTTTCATATGACTATTGGCTACGTGTATGTGTTCTTTTAAGAAGTATCTGTTCATGTCCTTTCCCCACTTTTTAATGGGTTTTTTTTTTCTGGTACTTTTCTTTAAGTTATTTATAGATGCTGGATAATAGACCTTTTCTAGATGCTGGATTAGTCAGGGTTGAAGAGGGACAGAACTAATAGGATAGATGTATATATAAAGGGGAATTTGTTAAGGAGTATCATACTCACATGATCACAGAGTCCCACAATAGGCCATCTGTAAGCTGAGGAGCAAGGGAGCCAGTCTGAGTCTCAAAGCCGAAGAACCTGGAGTCTGATGTTTGAGGGCCAGAAGCATTCACCATGGGTGAAAGATGTAGGCTGCGAGGCTGAGCCATTCTAATCTCTCCATGTTCCTCTGCCTGCTTTTTATTCTGGCTGTACCGGCAGCTGATTAGGTGATTCCCACCTAGAGTGATGGTGAGTGTGCCTCTCCAAGTCCACTGGCTCAAATGTTAATCTCCTTTGGCAACACCATCACAGACACACCCAGAAACGATGCTTTGCATCCTTCGTACAATCAAATTGACACTCAGGATTAACCATCACAAGTCCACCCCTTGTCAACTTAAACCTATATTCATCTCCTGAGATCATACATAACCTTCACATAAAGACAATAATAAGGTCATAATTACACCTAACATAATACAACTATCCTTCATAGAACCAGAAATGCACCAATCCCCAAACCAAATGCTGTTACATAAAGCTAACAACACTTAAATGCTGATATGAAGTCAATAAATCTTATGTCATATGATAAAGGAAACAATCAATAAAATGAAGATATTTTCTTAGTACAAGTGTATACTTACACAAACATGTTCTTCACAAAAAAAAAGGAAGAATTACTCATGACAATTAAAGTCCTCATTTCTGCAACTAGTCACATGGTCATAGCTGTTATTGATGACTACCTTCTTCTACTACCCATTCTGTATTCCCTTTGCCTTCAGCAAGCACCTCAGGAGGTTGAGGGGTTTTTTTTCTTCTTCTTCTTTTTTTTTTTTTTTTTTTTTTTTTTTTACCAAAACTTTCATTCCTGATAGGTCTGTTTCATTTGCAGTCCTGCCTGGATTGGGCTGTTGTAGTTTCCTATTGACCTTAATCACAGGACATGTTAATACTAAGAGACATCCCAAGGAATCTCCTGTATTCCACGCATACTCTTCCTTACCTCCATTGTGGAGTAACAGACTGATTTCATTCTGACAGTCTGGGTCAATCAACCTAGGATTGACTCACTTCTTGGCCTGTTGACTTAAAGGTAGGAGGAGCCCAAAGTGTCCAGGTGGCAATCTTAACTTCCAGTTTAATGGAGACATTGTTATGTCTCATGGTGGCAGTATTCCTCCCTCTGGAACTAAGCCCTCTAGGCCAGCAGAACATAATGTCACAGGAACAGGAAACAAAAATTTTACTAATGGATCACTAGGGGTGATGGTGAGTGGTGCCACTTCCACTTTAACTCCTTGATTCATGGACCAGTGAAATCTGGCTATGGGAGAAACAGTAGCATACATTGGATACTGATTCAGAGCATACACAGCCTTCTGAGAACTTTGCCCCAGCCCTGCAAAGTATTGTCACCTAGTTGGTGTTGTAATTGTGACTTCAAAAGTCTATTCCAATGTTCTGTCAATCCAGATGCTTCAAGATGATGGGGAACATGGTAAGATCAGTGAATTTCATGAGCATGAGCCCACTGCCACACTTCTTTAGCCATGAAGTGAGTGCTTTGGTCAGAGGCAATGCTGTGTGGAATACCATGACAGTGGATAAGGCATTCCATGAGTCCATGGATGGTAATCTTGGCAAAAACATTATATTCAGGAAAGGCAAACCCATATCAGAAGTAAGTGTCTATTCCAGTGAGGACAAACCTCTGCGTTTTCCATGATGCGAGAGGCCCAACATAACCAACCTGACACCAGGTAGCTGACTGATCACCCTGAGGAATGGTGCCATATCAAGGGCTCTGTGTTGGTCTCTGCTGCTGGCAAATTGGGTACTCAATAGTGGCCATAGCCAGGTCAGCCTTGGTGAGTGGAAGTCCATGTTTCTGAGCCCATAAGTAACCTCAATCCCTGCCACCATGGCTACTTTGTTCATGAGCCTAATGGGTGCTGACAGAGGTGGCTGGGGAAAGAGGCTGAGTGGTGTCGTCAGAAGGAGTCATCCTATCCACTTATTAAAATCCTCCTCTGCTGAGGTCACCCATTGGTGAGCACTCACATGGGATACAAATATCTTCAGTTTTTGACCACTCAGAGAGGTCCATCCACATAACTCTTCTTTAAATTTCTTTGTCAAAAATTTTCCAGTCATGCTTCTTCCAAGTCCCTGACCATCGAGCCATACCATTGGCTACAGCCCATGAATCAGTATGTAATCGCACATCTGACCATTTGTCTTTTCATGCACAATGCACAACCAGATGCACAGCTCAAAGTTCTGCTCACCAGAAAGATTTTCCTTCACCACTGTCCCTCAGTGATGTCTTAGAAAGGGGCTGTAGTGGTACAGCTGTCCACTTTTGGGTGGTGCCTGCATATCATGCAGAACCATCTGTAAACCAGGCCCTAGTCTTCTCTTCCTCTGTCCACGGATCATAGGGAACTCCCCAGGAGGCCATTGGTGCAGGCTGGTGGAGAGAAGGTAGGGTGACAGGAGTGAAGACCATGAGCATTTGAGTCACTTACTCATGTAACTTACTTGTGCTTTCAGGACCTGCTTGAGCCCAATCATGTATATATCACTTCCATTTGATGATGGAAAGCTGTTGTGCATGACCCACTTTATGGCTAGATGGATCAGAAAACACCCAGTTTATGATAGGCAGTTCAGGTCACGTGATGACTTGATGACCCTAGTCAAATGTTCAGTTTCCACCAAAGCCTAGTAACAGGCCAAGAACTATCTTTCAAAAGTAGAGTAGTTATCTGCAGAAAAGGGCTGGGTCTTTCTCCAAAATCCTAGAGGCCTCTGATGTTATTCAAATATGGGGGCCTGCCAAAGGCTCCAAACAGCATCCTTATCTGCCAGTGACACCTCAAACACCATTGGATCTGCTGGGTCATATGGCCCAAGTGGCAGAGCAGCGTGCACAGCAGCCTGGGCCTTTTGCAGGGTCTTCTGCTGTTCTGGACCCCACTCAAAGCTGGCAGCCTTTTGGGTCACTTGATAAATGGGACGCAGTAACACACTCAAATGAGGAATGTGTTGCCTCCAAAATCTAAATAGGCCCACTAAGCGTTGCGCCTTTCTTGGTTGTAGGAGAGGCCAAATGCAGCAATTTATCCTTCACCTTAGGAGAAATATCTCGATACGCCCCACACCACTTGACCCCTAGAAATTTTACTGAGGTAGAAAGTCCCTGAATTTTAGTTGGATTTATTTCTCATCCTCTGCCACACAAATGTCTCACCAATAAGTCCAATGTGTTTGCTACTTCTTGCTCACTGGATCCAATCAGCATAATGTCATCAATATAATGGACCAGTGGGATATCTTGTGGAAGCAAAAAGTGATCAAGGTCTCTTTGAATAAAATTAGGATGCAAAGACAGAGAGTTGATATACCCCTGAGGTAGGACAATAAAGGTATATTTTTGGCCTTGCCAGCTGAAGGCAAATTGCTCCTGGTGGGCTTTATAGACATAAATGGAGAAAAAGGCATTTGCCAAATCAATGACTGCATACCAGGTACCAGCAGATGTGTTAATTTGCTCAAGCAATGAAACCACATCTGGTACAGCATCTGTAATTAGAGTCACTACTTGGTTAAGCTTATGATAATCCACTGACATTCTCCAAGATCCATCTGTCTTCTGCACTGGCCAAATGGGATAGCTGAACAGAGATGTGGTGGGAATCACTGCCCCTGCGTCTTTCAAGTCCTTGATGGTGGCACTAATCTCTGCGGTCCCCCCAGGGATGTGATATTGTTTTGGATTTACTATTTTTCTAGGTAGAGGCAGCTCTAATGCTTTCCACTTGGCCTTTGCCAACATAATAGCCCTCACTCTACCAGTCAGGATGCCAATTTGAGTGTTCTGCCAGGTGCTAAGTACGTCTATGCCAATTGTGCATTCTGGCAATGGGGAAATAACCACAGGATGAGTCTGGAGACCCACTGGACCCACTGTAAGTCAGACCTAAGCTAAAACTCCATTAATTACCTGACCTCCGTAAGCCCCTACTTTAACTGGAGGACCATAATGACGTTTTGGGTCCCCTGGAATCACCGTCAGCTCAGAGCCAGTGTCCAGTAGTCCCTGAAATGTCTGATCATTTCCCTTTCCCCAGTGCACAGCTACCCTGGTAAAAGGCCGGAGGCCTCCTTGGGTAAGGATGGGAGAGAGACTAACAGCATAAATTGACAGTAGTGTAGTGGGGTCCTTCTTCAAGAAGAGCCAGCCTCCCTTTAATTCAAGGGGTTCTGGGTCTATAAACTGGCTTAAACCTGGAAATTGATTGAGGGGCTGTGATTCTCTGTGTTTATAATCCAAATTAGTCTTTTTTTCCACTTGACCTCAAAGTTTTCTGCTTATGTAAATTAAGTAAGAATGCAGTAGGCTTCCTATTAATTTCAATTTTAGGAATATCATGATTAATTAGCCAATGCTAGAGTTCTACATGAGTCAAACATCTGATTGCTCTTTGCCTCTGCTGTCCATTATAGTAGCTATGTCCACCTTGCTTTTGAAGATTGAGTGCCACCACTTGGACCCTACCACCTCAGGATCCAATTATTCCCATTGCATTTAAATTTTGTAGTTGAGTGACTGTGGTTCCCACTATTAGATCTGGCATACAGAGAAGAGTAGTCACAGAGCTCTTCGATGATGCAGGCACTGCCCTCACAAATCTATTTAGCAAGGCATTGGTCAAGGGTATATCTTCTGGACCCTCCAGCTGGGATGAATAGGTCTAAAGTGACTAATCCACTCCAGTATCCCATTCTTCTAAGCCTTTGGATCCCCTCCTCTACATTAAACCAAGGGAGATCAGGCATTTCCAGCTCACTCAAAGTAGGCCATTTTTTAATCCGCATTTCAAATAACCAAGCAAATAAACTGTTAGAACCCTTTTTAACTCCCTGAGCTGCAACATTGAATGCAGAATCCCTACTTATATGGGCCCAAATCAATAAATTCAGCCTGATCCAACTCTAAGTTTCTTCCACCATCATCCCATACCCTTAATATTAATTCCCATGCCTGTTCTCCAAATTTTGCCTATAAAATTAGAAAACTCAAGCAGTTTTTTTTCAAATGTAGTACACCTCCTTGTCAGTCACACTCTGAACCTCACCTCTAGGGGCCTGCCAGGACTTTAGTTATAGGTCTAGTAGCAAACAGAGGTGTTGGTGGTGGGTACTGAGAAGAATCAACATTGTCTTGCCTGGCAACTGCCTCAGGGGAGGCCATCACTGTTGCCTCAGGCAGCATAGGTTTTATCTCCTTAAACAAAGGTGGAAAGGCTGATGACAGCATAGGTCAGGAAGGGGATGTTGCTACTACTGGGGCTGGGGAAGCTGTTTCTCCTGGCACAAAAGTTTCATCAGAGTTCATAAGCTCGGTGTCCCCAGCTTCACTGGAGTCCTCCCACACCTCATTCCAAGTTGCAGGGTCTCATTCTTTTCCAATCAATGCCCTCAATTTAACAGTAGACACCTGGTGAAGCTGTGTATGCACCTTTTGTTTTAGGTCAGCCACTCTCATGATAAGAACTTGTGACTGATTTTGCACAATTTTAGCTCTTTCTTTACAGGAGATAAGAATCCCTCACTAAGGGTAATCTTAGCAGATTTGAGCCTCAGTATCTGCTTCCAAAGCCAGGAGTTAGAATCCCCAAGTTCATCACTTTCTTTCATCACTTTGTCCAGTGAATTTAGGAGCAACCAACCAACTTCATTATGTTCCTTGGTTCTCCACATATGGTCAAAGGTATTATGTATAGAGTCACTAAACTCCTTGCCTCTCACGAGTAGTGAATCAGGGGTGTCAAATACATTTATTTTACATAACTCTCTAAATAGTTCATGCCAAGGACTATCAGTGTTCTCCATACTATTAGAAGTGGAGTCCCTAGCATTTTTGGGTCTAATCATATTAAGCAGCCAACTCCAGAAACCCAAAAACCAATGAAAGAACTCTATCCTTAATATTCTGTTCCTTTGGAAATACTGCTGGTACCAAAATCTGTGTTAGGGTTATCTGGACAGACAGAACTAATAGGATAGATGTATATATAAAGTATAAAGGGAAGTTTATTAAGGAGCATTAACTTACATGATCACAAGGTCCCACAATAGGCCACCTGCAAGCTGAGGAGCAAGGAAGCCAGTCCAAGTCCAAAAGCTGAAGAACCTGTAGTGTAATGTTCGGGGGCAGTAACCATCCAGTATGGGAGAAAGACATAGGCTGGGAGGCTAAGCCAGTCTAATCTCTCCAAGTTCCTCTGCCTGCTTTTTATTCTGGCTATTCTGGCAGCTGATTAGATGGTGCCCACTTGGAGTATGGGGGAGTCTGCCTCCTCCAGTCCACTGATCCAAATGTTAATTTCCTTTGGCAACAACCTCACAGACACACCCAGGAACAATACTTTGCGTCCTTTAATCCAATCAAGCTGACACTCAGGATTAACCATCACAGATGCATAGTTCACGAAAATATTCTCTCATTCTGTTGGTTGTCTGCTCAATCTCTCGATAGTTTATTTTGTGGTGCAGAAGTTCTTTTTTTTTTTTAAATTAAACTTGCCTATTAAAAGTCAAATGCCTGCACAATGGATTTTAAAAATGATCCAACTATATTTTGTCTATAGGAGACTGGCTCAAATACGAAGTCACTAATATGTTGAAAATGAACAGATGGAGAAAGACATTCCATGCAGGTAGCAACCAAAATTCAGTGGGCATACTAATATCAGGCAAAACAGATTTTAAGTCAAAAACTGTTACATGAGGCAAAGAGTGATATTACATGTTGATAAATGTGTCAATTCTTCATGAAGACAGAAGAGTTACAAGCAGATACACAAAAAATAAGAGAGCCACTAAACATATACATTATAATTGACAGACTAAAAAGGAAAAATAGACTTTTCTATAATAATAGTTGGAGACTGCAATATTCTTCAGGATAGATCACATATTATGCTACAAATAATTCTCAATAAATTTAAGAAGGTAGAAATCATATAAAGTATCTTCTCTGACCCTAGTAGAATAAAAATATAATTAATGCCAAAGACACCACAAGAAAACTACAGCCAAATATCACTGATACATATAGATATGGCAGTTCTCAACAATATAGTAACAAACCAATCCAGCTGCATTTTAAAAGGATTACATATCATGACCAAGTTGGATTTATACTTGGAAAGTAAGGGTGGTTCAACATACAAAAGTCAATACTTATAACACACCACATTAATAGAATGAAGAAAAAACCCCACATGATCTTTCCAATTATTTCAGAAAATATCATTTGACAAAATTCAACATAAATTTGCAAAAATATATTCAAACTAATAATAGGAAAGAACTCCAGCAACCTGGTAAAGGACATTTATGGAAAGCCTACACTTAGGATTACTCAATGTTGGAAGACAGAAAGCCTTCTTCCGAGGATCAGAAACAAAAAATAAGGATGCTCATTTTTGCCACTTCTGTTCACCATCGTACTGATGGTGCCTCTTCCAGTCAAAGAAATTAAGAGAGAAAAAGACATAAGAGGCATCCATGTTAAATAGGAGATAGTAAACCTTTTGCAGATGATGTTTTCTTATATATTGAAAAACCTCAAGAATCCACAAAAAAACTGCTAGAGCCAATAGACTTTTCAGCAAAGTACAGTAACCATAGCTAACATACAAAAATCAGTTGCATATCTGTACACTAGCAATAGAAAATCCCAAAACAATTTAATAAAACAAGCCCATTTACAATAGCATCTAAAAAACAAAATACACAGGGCTAAATTTAACCAGGCTGGTGGAATACCTGTACACTATTAACTTGAAAACATTGCTGAAGGAAGTTAAGAAGATCTAAATAAGTTGAGAACAATATGTGTTCATGGACTGGAAAACTTAATATTGGTAATACTACCCAGAGTGGTCTATAGATTCAATATAATCCCTATTAAAATTTCAACAAACTTTTTTTTGCGAAAATGGAAAAGCTGAATGCCAAATTCATATGGAATGAAAGTAAGTCCTTTGAACAAATGTCTGGTAAAAAAAAAAAAAAGCAAGTAAACGATGCACACCTCCATATTTCAAAATTTATGACAAAGCTACAGTGATCAAACAAGTGTGTTACTGGCATAAGAATAGACATATAAACCAATGGAATAGAGATGAGAGTCCAGAAATAAAACCATTCATCTCTGGCCAATTCAGTAAAGGTGCCAAGACTGTTCAACAGGTAAAGTATAGTCTCTTCAACAAATGCTCCTGGTATAATGAGATATCTGTATACAAGATCTTACACCATGTATCCAAATAAAAAAAATGAAACATAGACATAAATACAACACCAAAACTGAAGCTTAGAAGAAAACTTAAGGGTAAATTTTTGTAATCTTGGATTTGGCAATGGATTCTTAGATATGATATTAAATGCATGAGCTTAACATATGAGGTTTTATGGGGGATGATGAAATCATTCTGGAAGTTGATATAGGTGATGGCTGCATAACAATGTGAAAGTAGGAAATGTCACTAATTGTGTGTATTAAAATAATTAATTATATGTTAATTTTACCTCAATATTTTAAAAATGTGTTCTATTCATTCTGGGATATAAAGATAGGGTGGAAAAGTATTCATTTAAAAGTAGGTATCTTTTGAGCTGGGACCTGAAAAATGAGATGTGTAGTAATGTAAAGGAGATGGGGAAGAAAGTGTAAGTACACAGGAGAAAAGCGTTGTATAAAAGATTCCAAGTAAAGAGATCATGAGAAAATGCATACAAGTCAGTTAATAAGTCTTGGTGCAGGGCAATTGTGGTAGGGCCAACAGGACATCAGTGCATCCTTCCTATGTAGAGGAGTCTGGATTTAACCTTAAATCTTTAGAAATCACTGAATATTTGGTGTCAGGGAAAATATGTTCAAATTTGCCTTTCAATAAGATTACTCTGGAAACTGTGTAGATAGTAATATAAGAAGATACCAAGATGGGGGATCATGAGAATAATTTCACTGGTTTCTGTGTGAAACACAATGATGAAAGTCTGAACTATATTATTAATCATAAAGATTTTTGTAGACATTTAATCCTGGGAGGCCTCTGATGAACGTGATAATTTGGAATAATTTAGCTGACAGGGATATGAGTTTGAAGCTAGAGGCAAGGAGAGACTATTATGTTGTTCTGAGATTGGGATATGAATTAGTGTGGTAGAAATATACAGAAAAGGACACACTGAAGAGCTATTTCAAGGGAAGAAATAGCAGTGTTTTGTGACAGTGAATATGAAGAGTAAGGTAAATAAAATGTCAGAGTTCTTTAAAATTGTGGGCTTGTAAAAAAGGAAAAATTGTGATAAAGTA
Organism: Homo sapiens; assembly: GCF_000001405.40. NCBI lineage: Eukaryota > Metazoa > Chordata > Mammalia > Primates > Hominidae > Homo > Homo sapiens. Next base: position 86,084,827 of record NC_000007.14, on the reverse strand, counting down.
TACATGGAGTTGAAGTAGTTTACTTATTTAAGATAGAGGACATGCCTTTTTCCATTTTATACTGTAATTTAAAAATAAAGTATGATGTTGTGAAAAAAGTATTGTGTTTAGATCACAACTGGGTAATCTTGAGCAAGTTACTTATCCTCTGAGCCTCTGCTTCATACCTACAAAGTAGTTTTTAAAAGAAAAATTACTGGATTTCAGAGATGATCCAGGATGTTGGGTCATGTTGCAGGATATGCTTATCAAATAAAATAATAATAAGTGTAGGCTATAACTAGTGGTGTTATTATTACTGATGATGCTGAACTGGCCAACATTTAGGATTTGGATTAAAAAGTAATGCCAAAAAATTTTGATAGCAGGAAGAATTCATCATACATTTGCCCTTGAATCATTTAATTCTTTTTATTCTTGGGTACTTTCTCAGTTACTATATCTTTTAGCATCTGTACGATTTTCTCGAGTCTTATGTATTATATTCTTAATGAATCTTAGCTAAGAATAGTTACACAATTTATACTAAGATGATCAAGTTTCCATATTTACTAATTTTGTCAACATTGTTCTAAATCTCTTGAGTCAAGACAAAACCATAAGTTTGAGATGTTATTCAAGCACCCTTGTTCATAGTTAAGCTATTAATAGTATGAAAATTCAATATCCTTATTCATATTTAGGGCTCCATCAATAGTAGAAATAAAATTTTTCATGACTGAAGGGTGTATGATTTAATAGGGAAGAATATTACATATAACCAAACAAATCATGTTTTGACAGTATCAGTGTTTTACTGTCTGTGTTAAATTTTAATCTATTGAGATTAAAAATAATTAAAAAGTAATTTGATTTAATATAAAGGCCAGGAAGTATATGTTTTTACAGCCATATCTTCTAGAAATACTTAACAAAGATTTATTATAATAAAATTTATTTCTTTGTCCCAGAAAATATACAGAACTAGAAATGATAAGTAGAATACTTACTTTCAATTGCAAAACACTACCTTAGAATAAACTATTTGGCTTTCTCTGGTATATTAGGCTCTCTGACCATTGCTAGATGATTCAAAAACAGAACATTATTAGTGTGCTATGAATTTCTAATTTCATTGATCATGTATCTTATGTGGAAAGTATATAGTGTCCTTTAGATAGAGCCAGATCCCAACATTGAGAACAATTTATTTTCCACAATCAAGTAAAAAAAAATGTAAAACATGGAGTATCCATTACTGAAAAATTCATTAAATCAAGCTCATAATCAAATCAATTGTATTTTTTATATTTTGTAGTTAAATTTCTTATCTACACTCTATAACCAGAAGATAAGAATAATGTAAATGAATTTTAGGCCAGTTCTATCTTCTGGTGTGTTTTATTATATTCTTCCAAAGTTAATGAACGATGCTGCTGTCAACTTAAAATCAAATTAACTGGATACACTGTGGCCACCTCATTAATTCTACGTATAATTTTCTTTTGCTATATATAAATCAGAGTGTTAGGACTAATTGCAATTTTACTGGTGCCTAACTGCTTCAAGATTACAATGTTAATACACTGTTTTAATTTTGTGGAAACCATTAATAATCAACAGTAATTTTGAGCATGCATTGTAAATTTATTTCTATGCACATATCATACCCTGCTCAATATTTAGAAATATAAAAAGAAATTAGAGATGACCCTTCAGAAATATCAACTGCACAATAAGAATTTAAAATAACTATGATTTATATGTTAAGGATTCTAGTGGAAAAAAATAGATAACATGCAATGTCAGATAGGTAATTTCAGCAGAAACATGAAAATGATAAAAAAACAATGAAATGGGAATACAATAATTGTTTTAGAAACGGAAAGAATGATTTCAATGAACTCAGAACAGCCTAATATATGTTACTGAAATCTCAAGAGAAAGGAATGGAACCAAATAAATATTTGAAGAAAGATACTAAATTTAATAAATAATAAATTTATTAACAGAAACTCACAAAACCAATACATTTAGGTAATTCCAAACAGAATTGAAAAAAGTAAACAAAACAAATGAAAAACCTAGGCATATTTGGGCATATTGTACATAAACTGCTCACCATCCAAGATAAAAAAATATTTAAGACAGTGATAGAAACAAAACACATTACATACAAAGGAATAACAATGAATACTACACCATACATTTTACTTACAAAAAAAAAAAAAAAAAACCAGAGGACATTCGTTGCCAGCAGAATTAAAGATTGTTGAGAATTAAGAATGTTAGTAAACTTCTTTAGGCAGTAGAAACTGGATAAGAGACATAAGTATGTATCCATATACACAAAACTAAATAATGCTAGAAATGGAATAAGGATGTAACTAGATTTTTTTTTCTTGAGTTTAATTCATGTAAAGATTATGAACTCTCTAAAGCAAATTAGTCATTGCTATTGTGTGTATTTATAGCATAAGTGTAATTAAAATACATAACCGGAATAGCACAAAGGTTGTGAGGGAAGAGTTGAGGGCATATTGTCAACTACTTAAATTGTAAATAACAGTAATAGCACAAAGGTTATGAAGGAAGAGTTAAAGGCATATTGTCAACTACTGAAATTATAAATAAAGAGGTACACTATTATTTAAAGTCAGACTCTGATGAATTAAAAAAAAATACTAAGAGAACAACTAAAAAGAAGAATACATAATAAATAATATGATTATTGGAGACAAAATGAAATGTTTAAGTAATTAATAAGAAGGTAGAGAAAAGGATAAAAATTCAATAATGAAGTCATGGAACAAATATAAAATAGCTAGCAGACAGCAGGTTACAATCTAATCATATCTATAATTACAATAAATATACAGAAACCTATCAAACCACAAAATCATCAGAGTAAATAAAAAAGTTATATCTACCTATATGTGTGTACATGTGTCACACACACACAACACACACTTCAAATATAAACACATGTTAAAGGTAAAAGGATGGAAAAATATATATTAGGCAAATAGTAATCAAGGGAGAGTGGGAATAGCTATTTTAACATCAGACTAAATAGGCTTTGGCAGGGAAATATTACCAATGATAAGTAACGATAGATAATAATAAAAGTATCAAGTATCCAAGAAGCCATAACAATCCTAGATGTGTGTTAACAGCAGACTTTCATAAAAGCTGTGATATAGAAGACCTGAAAATCACTACCAACCAACTTGGTCTAATTAACATATATAGGGCTGGGCATGATGGCTCACTCCTGTAATCCCAGCACTTTGGGAGGTGGAGGCGGGTGGATCATCTGAGGTCGGGAGTTCGAGAGCGGCCTGACCAACATGGAGAAACCCTGTCTCTACTAAAAATACAAAATTAGCCGGGCATGGTGGCGCATGCCTGTAATCCTAGCTACTCAGGAGGCTAAGGCAGGAGAATCACTTGAATCAGGAGGTAGAGGTTGTGGTGAGCCAAGATTGGGCCATTGCACTCCAGCCTGGGCAACAAGAGCGAAACTCCATCTCAAAAACAAAACAAAAGAAAACAAAACAACAGCAACAATAACAAAAAGCCATTTCTACAATCTAGGAAAATAGAGTAGATATTCTTTCAAGTGCATGTGGAACATCCACTGCTTGATCATATTCTGCTTTATTCAGAAAATATAACCTTAAAAATTTAAAAGAATTGGGATTACTTAATGTATGTTCCAGTAGCATAATGGAATTGTATGAAAAAAAAAAGAAAAAGAAAAACAAACTAGCTTAAAAACACCCCAAATATTTGGAAATTAGACAAAACATTTCTAAATAATTAACAAATAAGGTGAAAACTATAAGAAAAATTAGAAAATGTTTTAGTTGTCTAAAAAATGAAAGTCCATATTAACAATTTTGGCATGTAGATACAGCAATGTTCAGGAGGATATTTATGCCATTATATAGTCATTCAAGAGAAGAATAAAGATTTCAAATGAATGGTTTAAGCCTCCAACTTAGGAAAATTTTTAAAAAGAGGAATACATTAATCTCTAAGCATAAGGAAGAAAAGAATAACAAACAGAAATCATAAAATTGACAACTGAAAAACAATAGAGAAAACAAATGAAACAAAACCTGTTTCTCTGAAAAATCAACAAAAGTGACTATAATAAATAGAGAAGAAATAAATTACAAGTATCTGGAAAGAAAGAGAATATCAACACAACCCCAAAGCTAAGAATATGGTATTAAAAAAATTTATTCTAATAAATTAAGAATGCCAAATTATTTGATAAAAATACTAAATTGTCCTATATTCTATACCAAAATTGTATTTACAGTTTAAAGCCTTTCCAACAAAGAAAGTCCAGATCCAGATAACTTCTACCAATTTTTTAGAATAATTTCGACTTTTATTTTAGATTCAGGGGGTACATGTGCAGGTTTGTTACATGGGTATAAGAAAAACTAGTAATAGTTCTACAAAGTATGTTCAGAATATAAAACATAACATCATTCTCACACTCTTTTTATGAGGCCGGCATTACCCTAATACCAAAAGCAAAAACTAGATAGAAAAAAAATTCTACAGACCAATATTTCTCACAAACATCTATGCGAAAATCTTCAATAGTATGTGAGCTAATCCGATCCAGCTATATATAAATATGTTAATGCATTATGACCAAGTGAGTGTAACCCATGTGTTAAGTATAGCCCTGGCCTATGCTTCACCTACCTAACATGTATGGCCTTGTGAATCGTCCTCTGTGACCAGCAGACATGGGAGAAAATTCTTCAGCTTAGTTTACAAATAGTTCAATCTGATAAGATAGTGCAAGCCAAAAATCTACTGCTACCATGCTAACACTTCATTCAAAGAGGGCTCTAATAGTGAATGATGAGAGAAAAATTCCCAGTTAAAAGAGCTAGAGCAGTACTATTGGATGTCTACTCTGTGTGGAGGGAATATTGGGCTGGTATAAGGATATACAGCGTGCCATGACATTTGGTCAGCAGCCCAGAAGCATGGAATTAGGAAAATTAGAGACAAAGAGATCTGGGGTAGAGGTGTATAGATGGACCCAAATGAACATGCACTGTGTGTGAAACTGTCTCATGTAAATACCCATAAAAGAGAATCTACTGTAGGAGGCACTAAAAAAACCTGGGGGGACAATGTACACATAAATATATACAATTTTTATTGTCATTTTAAACTAAAACAAAACAAAATAAAAAAGTGAGTTAACAGATTGACTTATGAAATCAATGAGTGTCAGAGAAACCTTGCACTCAGCCACACTAATGAAACAAAGAGTAGAATAGCCATGGCGCCAACAACGAAATCTAAGCGTGGGAGTAAAAGTATGCACTCTGTGTCACAAAAGCCTATGTAACTTTGCCTTTGTCAAATGTATGATATTCCAGTAGAGACCAAAGCTAAGCCCTTACTAAAACAGCATCACAGATAGAGACCATGTAGCCACTTAATGTCAAGTTGAATAAATTGTATCTCTTATACACTGGGGAGCAAAACCATGTATCTTTATTGGAGTTGACACCAATTACATATATATATATATTGCCTTACCTGCTCACAGCACTTCAAAGTAGCATGGCTTTGAATTACAGTTTATATAGCATCTTAAAAAACAGCAAATTTCTAGATAAGTGACAAAACAAAGGAAAAAGACTTTGAATCTCTATGGGCAGTAACTTGGGGAAAGGCAAATAAATGTGAGAGAAAGGCTAGTTAGTAAAGATTGTGAATGTAAATTTCTCTGGTACCATCATCAGGCCAATTAGGGTCTAAATTTGCCTTCAGTGGTTAACATTTGTTCTTCCTGGTAGAAAGTGGGACAGGTTATCTTGTTTTTGAAATCTACGCTGTGCTTTTAGGCAAATTTAGGGAGTGCAGAGAGCTTTTCTGCATCTGCGTCTTCTTAGTTGTCTTAATTGTCTTCTAATCAGCTCAAAAATCCTTCATATTTTGTGGAAGCATATTCCAGTCTCCCACATATTAATTTTCTTATTCATTTTCCTGCATGATTATCAGCTTCATTCTCTTTTAGGTATCCTGTATTTTAGGCTTAATTTCTAAGACTATTTGTATTTTCCTCAATTTCTTTCCTAGATTTGATCAAACCTTGTTAGATGTATTCCTACTTACTTGTCTCCTTTTATCATCTTTTGAACTTCTTATTTAAAGTATTTTTTTTATACCACAATGCATTTTCAGGTATTTAATTTAACCTGACGTATCATAATATAGTTTTCTTCTGCATTTTGGTTGTTCACTTGGGTGGGGGTGGTTTAATTGCTGACATCTTTTAACCTTCAATTTCTATTTTTATAGTAATTTATATAAATAATCATTGCTTTTGTATACTTATTTGGTAAACACTTTGGATATTCGGGAAGTTTACGAAATTCTTAAATACATTTAAATTTTGACTTTATATACATTCTATTACAGTTTCTGTTGATTGTCATGATCTGAAAAGAAATTAAAAATCAGTTACATTTGATGCTAGTATGTATTATTTATATAAATTATATTGCCTGTGTTTACAGAATCCTACAATTACCTATGCTAACAATTACTTTTTGTTATGAATAATCAAATAATACTGAATTTTATTTAACAATTCTCTCTAATAACTGCAACATAAAATTCATATCGTCAAGTTTGCTTTGATACAATTTGATTAGAACATAAATAATAGTCATATATATTTAAATTGGAATTTCACTAGAGAGTGAAATTGTACATAATGTTAGATTTTCAAAACAACTGTCATAAGTAAAACATGCTTCACTATTAATAAGTAAAATGTGCTTCCATGGTAGTATATCTATCTATCTATCTATCTATCTATCTATCTATCTATCTATCTATCTATCTTCCTATCTATGTAGATACATAACATACTGATATATGTAAATATATATATATACTGATATATATATATCAGTTCTAATTTTATTCTTGATTTAATATTGCCTAAAATTATTGGTGTGAAAGGAATGATATATTTTAGTAACAATATAAACTTTCAAAAAACTTGAAACATTCCAGTAAGATATGACATTCTAATAGTTCTTTCATTAAACGTAACTATTACCTGCTCTTTCTCATAATTTTTTGGGAAACATTTAACATAAAAACATTTACATTATGTATTTAACATAACATAACAACATAAATGTATAAAACATTTATGTTATGTATTTAACATAAAAACATAAAAAAATGAAAGTTCAGTTTCTATTTTTATTTTTAAAAACTCTCTATACACACTTACAAATTATGCATGGAAAAATGTATGGTATATTTAGCATCTAATTTACCTTTAGAGAGCTGAGCCAAGTTTTAGTGATTAAAGTTCATTCTTTATGCTGCAAAATAAAATTGAAAAATAAAATTGTATGTATTTATATATTTTTTTCTCTGATTTTTATCTGAAAAATAGCAAACGTTGCTGGCATAAAGTAATAAATGTCTATAGTTATTCATAGACTGATTACTCAGTGTAGATAAAAAATTTCTATATTTCCTTGAATCTTTGACATTAACACTTAGTGAAAGTAAATAATTTGTGTATTTATGTTCAAAATATTTTATCTAGCCTTTCTCCAGAAGATGCAGAAGCAAATAAATTAGTTGGTTTATTTTTTATAACTTATAAGGCATGCAATTGTAAGATGTCTATTTGCTATTTACCCCTTTTTACATACAAAATGTAGTAGCATTTTATTATTTATTGATAATCTTCAAGTCTTTATTAATATCTATTTTTACCGAACAAGGAAAGAGAGGCCCTAAATCAATGAGTGAGAAGATGAAGCTTATGCAGCCACCAGCTGATAATTAAAGCCCTCATTACACAAACTGGATTTCAAGTCACTCTGAGCCTTGTTCTATCCTTGATGTCCAGGAATTTTACTTTGAAGTAACGTGTAGAATTCCTTGACAGATTTGTACATTGTTGAATTGTTATAGTTTGCTAGTTGACAAAATAAAAAAGCTATTAAAATATGAATAATTCTTCTAAGTTCAATGCATAGTAAATAACTTTGTTATTATTTATATATTTTTTCTCCTACATACAGATGCATTTTATTCCATTAGACACAATTAAGATTCAAGGACATCACAGTCTTATTAATGCAAACAACAATATACCAAAATGACAATCTAGAGTAGAAAAGTTTATTAATAAGCTATTTGTTCTATTTTTATTCTTTGTGGATTTTCATATATATTTTGTTTAATTTTATTATTATTATACTTTAAGTTTTAGGATACATGTGCACAACGTGCAGGTTTGTTACATATGTATACATGTGCCATGTTGGTGTGCTGAACCTAGTAACTCGTCATTTAGCATTAGGTATATCTCCTAATGCTATCCCTCCACCCTCCCCCCACCCCACAACAGTCCCCGGTGTGTGATGTTCCCCTTCCTGTGTCCACGTGTTCTCATTGTTCAATTTCCACCTATAAGTGAGAATATGTGGTGTTTGGTTTTTTGTCCTTGCGATAGTTTGCTGAGAATGATGTTTTCCAGCTTCATCCATGTCCCTACAAAGGACATGAACTCATCATTTTTTATGGCTACATAGTATTCCATGGTGTATATGTGCCACATTTTCTTAATCCAGTCTATCGTTGTTGGGCATTTGGGTTGGTTCCAAGTCTTTGCTATTGTGAGTAGTGCCAATATAAACATACGTGTGCATGTGTCTTTATAGCAGCATGATTTATAATCCTTTGGGTATATACCCAGTAATGGGATGGCTGGGTCAAATGGTATTTCTGGTTCTAGATCCTTGAGGAATCGCCACACTGTCTTCCACAATGGTTGAACTAGTTTACAGTCCCACCAACAGTGTAAAAGTGTTCCTATTTCACCACATCCTCTCCAGCACCTGTTGTTTCCTGACTTTTTAATGATCGCCATTCTAACTGGTGTGAGATGGTATCTCATTGTGGTGTTGATTTGCATTTCTCTGATGGCCAGTGATGATGAGCATTTTTTCATGTGTTTTTAAAGTCAATTTAATATTTTTAAAATCTCCTCAAGCATTTTCCTTTTTTCTACAACTAACTTACCTATATTTCTGCATCTTTCATATATGTTTGTTACAGATGTGTCTTTATGTATATACAAATATTTTTGTTTAAAGAATTTCAAGAAACAGTAAGTATAACCATGTATCTATCTCCCAGTGCCTTGTGCCTTGTTGTTAGGAATAGACAATATAGGTCAAAGTTTAACACATTTCTGCCATCTAAATGTATATCTTTATTTTCTCCAAGTAATGAAACATTTGTCATGTACATATGAGCACTTTTACAGAAAGATATTGTAAGTGGAAAGGTCCTAGTATATAATCAATATATTGCCTCTAAAGCAATTAGGTTCATTTTCACATCTGTCTGCTTTCACAGTTCTGTTGTGTCACAGCGGCCAGTTCACTACCCAATACCAGAAAATTATCCATGAAAAATAAGAATTTATCTTTTTTTCTTATATTTACATAAGGGAGTGAAAAATCTCACCTGAGAATTTATAATTAAAGAGCTGCTTACAAAGGAGTCAGCAACACAAATTCACAGTAGCTGAGTACTGAGAAAACATGCCTGACCAACATTTTAATTTAAAATGCTCTTGTATATTAGTGGCATGAGCTATCTGCTACAAACAAATGCATATCCTCTGTTGGGGGAAGATATATCAAACTAGACCATAAAGTATTATAATTGTTAAAAATAAAGTGATTGATGGCACAACTGAAAAAAAGTAAAATTAAAGAAAAATAAGTTAGAAAAAGTGAAACCTAGAGGAAGCAAAAGCAAGAGGAGAGTCAGATTTATGGTAACCTCACATATTGGAATCATCAGAGGCAGAATAAAAATATATATTTAAAGAAAGAAAATGTAAAAAGCAATCCACAAATAATAGCAAAACACTATGAAAAATGCCCAAAGTATATTTGAAAGAGAATAAAATATAATAATATTTTTTAAGTATATTAAAATTAAAGTTAAAATTTTACAATCAGTGGATTGGGTGTGTAGATCTGGAATTGACAGATCCATTTATCACTTTTATAATTCCATGGTTTTATGTAGCTCAGTTCCAGATTTAAGCCAAGAAATATCTTTCATGAATAGAAATTTCTTGAATAATAAGTTTCATTTTTTTCTCTATTTTAGCTATTATTTTTAAGGTTTCAAAATAACCACTATTTAAAAAAATATTTTAAATAAAATAACTAATATATTTAAAATGTCCTTTTGTCTCTAGTAATATGTCAAATATACTTTGACACAAACTGACTGAACAGAGGAAAAAATAATAAAATATGAAGAAAATAACATAAAATGTTGAACCCATAAATGAAATCAAACACACTAGACATTTTAAAGCCCAAACTAAGTAAATATAGGAAGAACAGATTGTTACTTAAAGTGACTTTCAACTTGATGGCATTTGAAGAAAGAAGCAAATGCCACATTGATAACCATCCGCTTTTAGAGCATGGATACCGGGAGACCAAGCCCAGAGTTGCACAAGTCAAGATAAAAATGGAAGACATTTAGGATAAAAATGAATAACTTTCTTGTTCCAGAAATATTCTCTCATGAAATCAAACAAGAAACAAATCTTAACAAGTTGGCCAAAATATTCAACACAATAAATAAATGCACGAGTTGAGGCACTATATAAATTTCAGGACAGCAACTACTTAAAAGAATTACAAAATGAGGATCTCTCTATATAAAATAGCTTTTTCCCTTGAGGTATTAGTGAATTCCAAAGCAATTGATAGTAGACTGAGAATAACTGGACTTCAAGGTCCTTCAAAGAAGAAGGTGCCTGAGAAAATTTCCTACACTGGAATTCCTAGGTTAGAATCCTTCTATAAGAGTGAGGGTAGACTGGAACTAGAGCAGTTCCTTTAAAGACCCAAGCTGAGCTTCAAATTATCTCAACCCTTGGTTCCTCTTAGAGGAGATGATATGCTCCTATATCGACTGCACCCTAAAATGAAGAGTAAATTATCTATGAATTTATTTTTCAAAGACAAATTATTTCAAAAATTTTCAACATTCCACAATAATTGCCAGTCTTATCAACATATAAAAACAGATAAGCAAAAGCCAATAAATAAAACAGATAAAAGAAACAAACTAGCAAGAGAAAAATACACTGTAATAATCAGATATAGATTTTAAAATAAATATGAGTATGAAATAAAATATAAGATAGAAATGATGTAAATGAAAAAAGAGGGAAGAAGAGAGAAGAAGAGGGAAAAAGAAGAAGAGGAGGAGGAGGAGGGAGAAAAGAAGACCTGATGAGTACTTTATTATTTTCCTATAAAATAACTGAAAAGATGAAGTCCTTTTTAGATTGGCTCCTATCATAGACTGAGTAGTTTAAACAAAAAATATTTATTTTTCACACTTCTGGAGGCTGGAAAATTCCAGATCAAGGTTCTGACTGATTTGCTTCCTTGTGAGGGCTCTCTTCCTTGTTTGCAGATGGCTGCCTCTTGCCCTATCTTCACATAGTAAAGTGAGAGATTATCTCTCTCTCCCGCTTTTTCTTATAGGGTCATTAATTTCATTCATGAGGGCTCCACCTACATAACCTCATTATTTCCAACAGGCCTTTTGTCCAATACCATCACATTCAGAATTAGGATTAAACGTATTAATTTTGGGGCAAAACAAACTTTCAATCCACAGCAAGCCCAAGAAAATATGAGGAAAATAACATAAAATATTGAACCCATCAATGAATTCAAATGTACCAGACATTTTAAAACCAAAACTAAGTAAAAATGTGAATAACAAAATAAATTAAAAAGATTAAAAGTATAAAAACTGTTTTAAATAGAATATAACATATATGTAATAAGAGGTCTTGAGAAAAGTCAAAGGGAGAATGGCAAAAATATATATTTGAAGAGAGAAAAGCATAGAGTTTTCCAAAATCGATAAAAGACATTAAGCTAAACATCCAAGAAGTACTGTGAAAGCCAAATAGTATAACTATAAATAATATCATTCTTTATACATCATAAGAAATCTGCTAAAGATCCAAGACAGGAAAAGAATATGAGAAACAGTGAATAAAATAAAATACAACAACTCCTTTACAGAACCAACAATGAGACTGTCTGTCTTCTCGAAAGAAACAATAGACAAGATAAGAAAATGTTATTTGAAAAAAAATAGCCAATGCGGGATTATATTACTACTGAAAATATCCTTCACAAATCAATGGAAAATAAAGACATTTTTAGATGAAGAATAAAAAAGATTACTCATTAGCATAGAGTCACATTTAAAAGAAACCTTAAAAATCATTCTTCAGACAAAAAGCATATGATATAAGGTAAAACCAAAGATATTCAAGAAAGTGATTTTCAACAAAAAGTGTAAATATATGGCTAATATATAAATATTGAATTTATAAAATGACCTGAAAAACTGATGAGCTTTAAAATGTACCAATCATTAAATACATAACATGAAAAAAACTATTGAAGGTAGAGGTTAATTGAAGTTAAAATATTATAAAAAGTCCTTACTCTGTGAAAGTGTAAAATTGTTCATTTATTTAATAATCAAATAGTCAAACAATCTAATGAATTAATAGCAAATGTAGTAATTTCTAAGGTAATAATAAAAACAAGAGTAAAGGAATGTATCATAAAGGAGTTAAGCATGAAAAGTGACAAGTTGAAAAAATACGGTATTAATCTAGCAGAAGACAAAGAAATGGAAAAAAAGAAGATAGAACTGATAGCAAAAATAGGGAAAAAAAAAGGTAGAGGGATATATTTAAACCAGCATTATATGATTAATTATTTAGCACACATGTGAGCTGCAACTAAAGTAAGAGGTTACCAGGTTAATTTTAAAATATATGCTGCTAACAGGAGATATGTATGTATTGTTATAAGAACACAGAATTTTTTTTTTTTTTTTTGACCGAGTCTCACTCTGTCTCCCAGGCTGGAGTGCGGTGGCACTATCTTGGCTCACTGCAACCTCTGCCTCCTGGGTTCAAGCAATTCTCCCGCCTCAGCCTCCCGAGTACCTGGGACTACAGGCACATGCCACTACACCCAGCTATTTTTTGTATTTTTAGTAGAGATGGGGTTTCACTATGTTGGCCAGGCTGGTCTCGAACTCCTGACCTCAAGTGATCCACCCACTTCGGCCTCCCAAAGTGCTGGGATTACAGGCATGAGCAGTGGCACCCAGCCAGAACACAGAATTCCTGAAGGAAAATGACATACAACCAATATGATCTCAAATATAGTTGCTCTATAGCTATATAAATACAAACAAAGTAAATTTTAAGATAAGGGGAACTACTGAGATAATAAGCAACACTTTTCAATGACTAAAATCAAACTATCAAGAAGATATAATAATTCTAAATTTTATACTTAATAATATAGATTTAAATGTGGAAACCAAAAATTAGCATAACTAAGAGGAGAATTCCACAATTATATAAACGATTTTGATAAAACTCAGTAACTAAGAAAATAAATCAACAATAATCAAGTTTATAAAAATTTTGAAAAACATTAAACTTGATCTAATACAGAAAATATTGTGTCATAAATTTAGCCACGAAGGTGAAACATCACTGCAGAGAAAACTATAAAACATTTATGAAAGAAATGGAAGAAGACACAAATAAATGGAAAGATATCTCATGTTCATTAGTTGGAAGACTTAATTGTTAAGATGTCCATGCCTACTCAACATGATCTGATGATAGGGATTAAATGCAATAAAAATGCCTGTAAAACCATGCATTTACAGCCAACTGATTTCTGACAAAGGTGTCAAGAGCACATAATGGGAAAACGATAGTCTCTTCATTAAATGTTGGAACTACTAAATATCCACAGGCAGAAGAATGACATTTAACCCTTATCTCACGCCATATGAAAAAACACCTCAAAATGCATTAAAGACTTAAAGGTGTGACTTGTTAAGTACAACGTTAGTAGAATACAACATATGATATTTGTCTGGGCAATGATTTTCAGAGATGAACTAAGAAGCATAGGCAACAAAATAAAATGTAGGTAAATAGGATTGTATTGAACAAAAATGTATTTTCACAGCCAATGAAACATTCAGCAGAATGAAGTAATAACCCATGGAATGGGAGAAAATATTATCAAATCTACATTTGATACAGGGCCAGTATCCAAAATATATAAGAAATTCAACTCAATAGAAGTAAAAAAACCAAATAACCCAGTTAAAAAGAGAGTCAAATAATTGGAATAGACATTTATTAAAAGAAAACATACAAATGGGCAACAGATATATGAAAAATGCTCGATAACACTAATCATCAGGAAAATACAAATTAAAACCACAGTGAGATAATCACCTCACACTTATTAGAATGGCTATTATCAAAAAGACAAAAATTAACAAGTATTGGAGAAGATGTAGAAAAAAAGGAACCCTGCACATTATCGATGGGAATGTAAATTAAGTTATCCATTATGGAAAATGATTTGGAGTTTCCTAAAATAAATTAAAAACAGAACTACCATATGATCCAGCAACCTCCCTCCTGGATATATCCCAAGGAAATGAAAGCAGTATGTAGAGGAGATGTCTGCACTCCGATTTTCATTGCAGGATTATTCACAACAGTCAAGATATGGAAACAACACAAGTGTCCATCAGTGAATGAACAGATAAATAAAATGTGGATATATACACAATGGAATATTATTCAGCTTTAAAAAAGAAACTCTGTCGTTTGGGCAACATGGATGAACCTGAAGGACATTTTGTTAAGTGAAATAAAAGAGGCACAGAAAGACAGACAGCACTATATTTCATTTATATGTGAAGTGTAAAATAATTGAACTCCATAGCAGTAGAGAGTAGAATGGTGGTTACCAGAGGCTGGAGGTGGAAGGGGGATGGGGAAGATATTGGTCAAAGGAACAAAATCTCAGTTACGTAGGAAGAATAAGTGCAAGTGATCTATTGTACAACATAGTGACTATAGTTAATAACAATAATTGTATTGAAAATTATTAAGAGAGTATATTTTAAGTGTTTTTACCTCACAAATAATGAACTGGTGAGGTAATGGATATGTTAATTAGCTTGATTTAGCCATTTCACAATGTATACATATTTCAAAACAACATGTTATAGATGATAAACATATATAAATTTTTATTTATCAGTTTTCAAAAATCCTAGCTATTAACCTAGCAAATTATTAGAACCTATTTTATACTTTCTGTTTTAAAAGTATGTATCTGTACTGGTTGCAAGCAACTATTAAACACTATTGTTAGGTTCATGTTTATATTTTGTCCTCTTAGGTGAGCCAAAAGGGGGCTTCTTCAATATGTAGCACTCCACTAATAAATTTTGTAGTCTGTTCTTGAAACACTGTATATTCTGATGAGGATAGTAGGATAGGAAGAATGAATAAACAAATGAAAAACATATGAAAATGCCACATCTAAGGGCAGCAGAGTACACTTTTTGTTTAAGTGATAATGGGTGATTTACTCTAATAAAACATGCTCAAGGGCATAAAGTAAATCTGACAAAACTACAAATTTATACATAGTATATGTTCTGCGAATTCTGCAAGTTAGCTAGAAATGAGCAATGATAAGAAATTTATAAAATCCACAAATATTAGGAAATATTAATCTTCTAATGAATCCATGTATAATAGAAGAAATTACATTGGAAATTAGAAAATAATTTGAAACTTAAAGTGATACAAAATTAATCATTTCAAAGCAGGTTGGATGAAGCCGAAACTATGCATATATGGAAATGCATAGCCTAAAATCTATATACAAATAAAGAAGAAAGGTTAACAACAAATGAATTAAGGAGCCTTCTCATAAAGTTTGCAAAAACAACAAATTAAAGCTAAAGAAAGCAGAAAGAAAGAAATAATACAGATAAGGGTAGAAATTAAGGAACCACAAACAAATATACAACCAATAGAACAATAAGGCTGCAAGCTGATGCTTTGAAAACATTAATAGAACTGATAAATTCTGTTATTAGAACTTATCAATGAAACGGAGAGAATAACCCACATGAAGAATTTAAAAGTTGGACATTATTACAGATTCTTGACTTCAAAAATCCTGAGACTATTTTAAATAATTTTGTCATCTAAATTTGATTATATAAATAAATATAAATGTATGGATGTCTAGGAAAGTACATTTACTAAAACACACATGTGGATAAATTTAAAAATACAAAAGCTGTTGTAATCATAGAGGAACTGAAACCTATACTTAAGAAAGAGAAACAAATATATTGCTCCAGGTAATTTCTTTTGGGAATTCTTCTAAATGTTTTGGAAAGCACCAGTCTTACTCTATTTCTTCCAGATAATGAGAGACAGAGAGGGAGAGACAGAGAGAGAGAGAGAGAGAGAGAGAGAACACACACTTTTAAACCTAAAGAGTGACAGAGAAAGAGAAAATGCTTTTAAACTCATTTTATGAACCCAGAGTTACCTTGACAACAAAGTGTGGGGCACAATCTCATTATTAAAAACAAATGGAAAAACTCTGGGGCAAAAGATCAGCAAACAAAATCTATGAAAATTATACTTTTATAGTGGTTCAATTCCAGGAATCTAGAGAACTTACAGGGGGTTAATAGTAAAAATCTAAGTGGGAAAGCAATCATTTAAATTCAGAATAAAGAAAAAATTTTGTGATCACTAAATAGATGAATACACACACACACACACACACACACGCACACACACACACACACAGTGCAATATTACTCAGCCATGAAAAAGAAGATAGTCCTGCCATTTGCAACAACATGGATGGACCTGGAAAACATTATATATAATAAAATAAGCCAGGTATAGACAAATACTGTATTATTTCACTCATATGGATATTATTTTTAAAAATCACACTTATAGAAACAGACTAGAGCAATGGTTGTCAGGGGACAGGGATGGAGCAAATCAGGAGATGTTTGTCGAAGGGTACAAACTTTCAGTAACTAGATGAAAAAAGTTCTGGGTATCTACTGTGTAGCATGGGTGGTGATGAATGTGTTGAGTAAATTGATTGTGGTAATTATTAAATAGTGTTTATGTAAATAAAATTATCACATTGTACACCTTTAACACATCGAATTTTTATTTGTCAAGTATTTTAAAATAAAAGATTAAAAGCAAAGCAAAACAAAACTTTATAATCCAGAGTCAAAATTTACAAACTAAAACTTTCTCTAAAAACAAATGTCAAAATTTAATTTTCTTCACATTTTTAACATTTTTCCTTCTTTCTGATGGTTGTGATCTGCTGCTTTTTATTATACTTGACCAGTCTCCTGCCCATTGTTTTCCCATTCTCAATTTGCCCTTAGTTTTCAGAACAGAAGAGACACTGGATTTTACCCACATTTTTCTTTTGCAGAGCAAACAGAAATAATGCATCTTTGTAACTCTAATAATCTAAAATGAGTTCATCATAGTGAAATATAAAAAAGCATTTACTAAAAGCAAGAAAACCAAAGTGCAGCTTTTGTATTTTCTAGTAAATATCTCAGTGGCCCTAGAGCAGTAACTACACCTCACTTAACCCATTATGAGAGTTTTGAACTAAGTGGTGTCTAAATTTTTATATTAAAGAAAATAAAAAATTGAAATACCTCATAAAAACAATCTATTTTATCACCCCTCCACCTCACAAACCACACATACATGATGCCAAGTTTCAGAAATATGCCCAAGATATGAATGACAGAATTACATAAAAACATTCAAAATAGTGTCTAAACCAGCTAGTGGCAATATCATTAAAAACAAAGAACAAAAACAAACAGGAGGGGGAAAATGGTAGAGGACAAAATAAGAATTACACATTTTATCTGTGAAGCACCATTTTTAAATTAGAAGAAATATATCATTACTGTTTTTTTAAAAAAATTGACACCAAGCGTTACATGAAACAAAAATGACTTAATTTTAAAAAATTACCCAATGGTTCAGAGACCCAAGAACACTAGTGTTAAAAAACAATCAGAGTCGGGTGACTATAATTAGCAATAATATATTGTATATTCCAAAACCACTAGAAGAGAGAACTTAAAATGTTACCAACACATAGACATGATAAATACTCAAGGTGATGGGTATTCCAAATACCCTGACATGATCATTACACACATTATGAATGTAAGAAATACCCGTATCCATGAATATGTAAAATACTTTGTATCAATTTAAAAAAAAAATCTAAGAATAAGTCGCATATCTACTTTCCTCCAGCCTCTTTGTTTGGAACTCAGTGTGAAACTTGATAACTAAAAGGGGACCAGCTGTATTAAAACACGAGAGCATAGTAATGAAGCACATTTTAAAAATAGAAACAGAAATGGTACTGTAGCAAAGGTGGCATGAAACAATGAAAACATGATGTGATAATGTAGGAAAGACAAATGTATTACACATGAGAGTTAAATAAGAGTACAATAACATTTAATACTTGCGTTGAGTAGTGAAAGAAGTACTAAAAGTAATGACATTGCACTCCCATACACACACATGGTTCTCAGATAGAGGAATCTGCAAATATCAAGGAGGCAAATTGGAGGTAATAAGTAAGATTTCTCCTTTTCTACCTTGGGTGTAGTGCATTTAACTTTGTTGCCATTCCCACCAATTGACATATTTGATGTAGGAGATTTTTAATAAAATCAATACTGAAGTGCTCATTCTAAATTACGAAAAGTACTGGCAGATCAGAGAAGTCATATTACTAGGGATTTCACAATAGAATCCTACTGAACTGAGTAGTGATGGTTGCATACAACCATTCTCCAGGACTGTAAGTTATCAATTGCTGTGTGGTTTCCTTAGAAGCTTAATGTTGATCTTAGGACTCTAGAAACAGAATCATGTCTGTAAATGGAAATAAGATAGAAGCATTTATATCACTTTGGGAATATAACACAATTACCCAATAAAGAATGGAAAATATTATCTAGTATATACTTTCAAATGCATTCATCTAAAGGCAGATATTTACACCTGAGAATAAGATCATTGCTTGCAATTTATTGGTTACGTATTGCCTGAAGCACCATAGTGAACATGCTCCATATATTTATGATCCCAGTTCACTAAATAAGATATGGGATTAGTATTTTTGGAGTCTGAGAATTACTGCCTGATGGCGATGTCTAGCAACTTAATAGAAGCTGAAATCCAACAGTGTGTGAAATGATGTTATTTATAAAGTTGGGAAGATATTATTGAATCCTTCAATAAAAAAAGCTTTTGTATAAACTTGAAATATTTTATCTGGAGGATTTATCTTTGTATTCAAAGATAAAAAGGGGAGCCTCTCATACCTTGGAGCTCTTTGAATATATTTGTATTCAAAGATAGAATATTTTATAGCAAAATATTTTAATCTAATACATGAAAGAGGAAATTAGAAGTTTAAGCATTAGAGTCTACCAGAAGTTCCATAAATGATTCTATAAAAAATAATTAAACTATCATTGGCTAAGACTTTGTATAGATTTCTTTCCTATAAACTTCCAATAAAATTATTTCTACTTCTTCCATTACTGAACAGAAATGGTTAAGAGTGTGTGATGAAATATATTGAATTTACACACTTTATATTCCCTCAATACAATAGTTTTGAATTTTCTTAAGAATATTGGTTATATGTAAGAATATTTCAACTTTCAAAGTCTGTGTTTAATTAATTAGCATAGGAAAGACTGTAATTAATTTTTTGATAAATGTATACATCTGTCTTTTGGGATCTTCCATGAAAAATACTTGATAACTTCTACCTTCTTGTATTAGTCTGTTTTCATGCTGCTGATAAAGACATACCCAAGACAGGGAAGAAAAAGAGGTTTAATGGGCTTACAGTTCCACATAGCTGGGGGAGCCTCACAGTTATGGCAGAAGGCAAGGAGGAGTATGTCACATCTTACATGGATGGAGGCAGGCAAAATAAATAAATAAATAAATAAATAAATAAATAAATAAATAAAGCTTGTGCAGGGGGACTCTTATTTTTAAAACCATCAGATCTCATGAGATCCATTCACTATCATGAGAACAGCACAGGAAAGACCTGCTCCCGTGATTCAATTATCTCCCACTGGGTCCCTCCCACAACACATGGAAATTATAGAATATACAAGATAAGATTTGGGTGGGGACACAGAGCCAACCCATATCATTCTGCCACTGGCCCCTCTCAAATCTCATATATTCACATTTCAAAACCAATCATGCCTTCCAAACAGTCTCCCAAAGTCTTAACTCATTTCAGCATTAACTCAAGACAAGGCAAGTCCTTTCTGCCTATGAGCTTGTAAAATCAAAAGCAAGTTAGTTACTTCCTAGATATAATGGGTGTACAGGCTTTGGGTAAATACAGCTGTTCCAAATGGGAGAAATTGGCTAAAACAAAGGCACTAAAGGCCCCATACAAATCCAAAATCCAGAAGGCAGTAAATCTTAAAGCTCCAAAATAATCTCCTTTGACTCCATGTCTCACATCCAGGTCACGCTGATGCAAGAGGTGGGTTCCCATGGTCTTGAGAAGCTCTGCCCCTGTGGCTTTGCAGGGTACAGTCCTCCTCTAGGCTGCTTTCATGGGCTGGCATTGATGTTTATGGCTTTTCCAGGTGCACAGTGCAAGCTGTCAGTGGATCTACCATTCTGGGGTCTAGAGGATGGTGGCCCTCTACTCACATCTCCATTAGACACTGCCCCAGTAGGGACTCTGTATGGGGGTTCCCACTCCACATTTGCCTTCTGCACTCTCCTAGTAGAGGTTCTCCATGAGGATTCCACTCCTACAGCAAACTTCTGCCTGGGCATCTAGGTGTTTCCATACATATTCTGAAATCTGGGTGGAGGCTCCCAAACATCAATTCTTGACTTCTGTGCATTTGCAGGCTCAACACTACATGGAAGCTGCCAAGCACTGAGGCTTGCACCCTCTGAGGCCATGGACTGGGCTCTACAGAGGCCCTTTCAGCCACAGTTAGAGCTGCTGGGATGCAGGCACCAAGTCCCTAGGCTGTGCACAGGACAGGGACCCTAGGCCCAGCCCATGAAACCACTTTTTCTTCCTAGGCCTCTGGGTCTGTTATGGGAGGGGCTGCAGCAAAGGTCTCTGAAATGCCCTGGAGACATTTTCCCAATTGTCTTGATGATTAACATTCAGGTCCTTATTACGTATGCAATTTTCTGCAGCCAGCTTGAATTTATTCTCAGAAAATGGGATTTTCGTTTCTATTTGCCTTTTCAGTCTGCAAATTTTCCAAACTTTTATGCTGTGTTTCCCATTTGAAACAGAATGCCTTTAATAGCACCCAAGTCACCTCTTGAATGCTGTGCTGCTTAGAAATTTCTTCTGCCAGGTGCCCTAAATCATCTCTGTCAAGTTCAAAGTTCCACGAACTTCTAGGCCAGGGCAAAATGCTGCCAGTCTCTTTGTTAAAACATAACAAGAGACACCTTTGCTACAGTTCCCAAGAAGTTTCTCATCTCCATCTGAGACCACCTCAGCCTAGACCTTATTGTCCATATAGCTATCAGTATTTTGGTCAAAGCCATTCAACAATTTTCTAGGGAGTTGCAAACTTTCCCACATTTTCTTGTTGTCTTCTGAGGCTTCCAAACTATTCTAATCTCTGCCTGTTTCCCAGTCCCAAAGTTGCTTCCACATTTCCAGGTATCTTTTCAGCAGTGCCCCACTCTACTGGTACCAATTTACGTTTTAGTCCGTTTTCATGCTGCTAATAAAGACATACCCAAGACTGGTAGGGGGGAGGGTGTGTGGAAAGAGCTTTAATGGACTTACAGTTCTACATGGCTAGGGAGGCCTCACAATCATGGCGGAAGGCAAGGAGGAGCAAGTCACATCTTGTATGGATGGTGGCAGGCCAAAAAAAAAAAAAAGACCTTGTATAGGGAGACTCCCATTTTTAAAACCAGCAGTTCTCGTGAGACCCATTTACTCTCATGAGAACATCATGGGAAAGACCCACCCCCATGATACAATTATCTCCCATTGTGTCCCTCCCACAACATGTGGGAATTATACAAACTACAAGATGAGATTTGGGTGGGGACAAAGAGCCATGCCATTTCGCCTCTTGTTTTACAAGTAGTTCCAAAATCATTAGTCAACTAGCTGAGGCATTTTTTCTGAGCTCTATTGCCATTTTTATATTAGATACTTAAATAATCTTACCCTTCTTTCATTTTGTTCATGAGTAAAATTAGGATCTTATACAAATCAGTGATTTTTATATTTTGTTTGTTGTAGTCATGGATTTATGTAGAGATGATTAAAGGACTGCTGTGAGTTAATTTTGCAGACCTCCAACCTTCCTCTTATGCCCCTTTTGGTCCTCTTTGGATTGAGACTGCACTCATTCTCCTGAAATCTACTTTTATGGCTTTAAATACCACATATTTGCAGTTACACCTCACTTTATATCTTCAGCTATCCCTCTCTCAAACTTGCACTATCTTAAACTTGCACTCTCTCAAACTGGCACTATCTTAATATTCCCTAATAAACTTCCACATATTAGTAACTTTAGTTGATCAAGGCAAGTATTTCAGAGTTAACCTCGGCCCTTCTATTTTTCTGACGACCCACATATAACCTACATAAAATCCTTTATGCCTGCTTTTGACATATATCCGTAATTTGAACGTTCTTCCAATTTTTATCGTGTATTAGCCTTGTATAAATCCCCTTATAGATAACTTGGCTTGCTTTGATAAACTCTTGCCAAGTTATTTTGCTGCAATGTACTTTTGATACAGCATCTAATTTAATCCTTTGTCTAAGTTACATGTCCCCTCAATGCTTTAACCCTTTTAATGGTTCTCCTTTTCATTCAATGTAAAAGCTAATTTCCATATCATCTGCAAACAAGCCTTTTATAATGTATTTCCCTGTACATATCTGTCCTCAGTTCCCACTACACCCCTCCTGGATCACTGTTGTAGACACACAGACCTCTTTGCATTTGCTAGAGGCTTTGAATGTCTACTGGGTGTTTCCTCTTCTTGAACCACAGATGTCCACTTGGTTAACTTATTTCATCTCCTTTATACTTTTTCTCAGTACCCTAACTCTCAATGCAGTAACACCTTATTTCCAGCTACAAACCCCCATGCACCACCATCCTCCACAATTTTGTTTCTTTGCTCCCTAATTTACATGGTGCTTATTGCTTTCTATTGTATAAAGCAATTGTCTAACTTATTCACCTTCTGTTTCATATTTCTTTCATTCTTCTACAATGTCAGCTCCACAAAAATAGATGTTATATGTTTTTTATAGCTGTATCCCAAGTACATAATTGATTTCTAGCTCATAAATATATGTTGAATAAATTAATGAATACATGGATAAAGAGGAGCAGAGTCTATTGGAAGGCAAAACATTTTTTCTCTTTTATCACCAAGTGTTATTAATAAAAAATGCAATGTACATTGGGTCATTGATAAAATTTCTGTTTAGCCCTCCATGCTTTCATCAGGGAAATAATGCTTTCATTACAGTTAAAAATAAGATTTAGAAGGTGATATCATTTGGCTCTGGGTCCTTACCCAAATCTCATCTCGAACTGTAATCCCCACCTGTTGAGGCAGGGAGGAGGTGATTGGATCATGGGGGACAGCATTCCCCATGCTTTTCTCACAATAGTGATTTCTTGCAAGATCTGATGGTTTTATAAGGGGCTCTTCCCACTTTGCTTTCTTTCTTTCCTGCCTCCTTGTGAAGAAGGTATTGTCTTCTTCTTTGCCTTCCAGCATGATTATAAGTTTCCTGAGGCCTACCCAGCAATGCAGAACTATGAGTCAATTAAACCTCTTTCTTTTTATAAATTACCCTATCTTGGCTAGTATCTTTATAGCAGTGTGAAAAAGGACTAGTACAGAAGGCAAACAATTGGACATTTGCTTTCAGTATGGCCAAATGACTCCTATAAAACTTAATCGCTCACAAAAAACAAATATAAATGTTGAAAAATTACAAAAAAAGTCAACATCAGTAACAACCAACTAGATAGGTAGTAGCCATGGAAGATGAACAAAAGCAAACCAATATTGGAAAGGAGTTAACACTTGAAAGAAATAAATGCCATTAGGAAAGTTTCCTGTTTCCTCTACCTTTTATCCTGAGGGCAGGCCTCAGAGTGCTTCTTGTGACATGATTAAATCCTGAAGTCTTATGCTTGAAAAGCCAGGGCCAGCAACACAAGTTGGAGAATGAAGTAAAACTTTTTAGAAAGGGACTCTACCAAAATGTCTGGCTAAACCACAATGAAGTATCTTCTTAACCCCATTAGAATGGCTATTATTAAAAAAGACAAAAAAAAAAACAAATGCTGATAAAGACGTGGAGAAAAGGGTGTACACTCACACTGTTTGTGAAAATGTAAACTAGTACATCCACTATGGAGAACAGTATGGATCCAAAAATCCCACTAATGGGCATTTATCCAAAAGAAAGATTAGTATATTGAAGGGACATCTGCACCCCATGTTTATTGAAGCACTATTCACAATAGTGAGGCTAAGATAGGGAATCAACTTAGATATGTCCAACAAGAGATGAATTGATAAAGAAAACGTGGTGTCTATACACAATGGAGTACTATTCAGCCATATAAAAGAATGAAATCTTGGCCGGGTGCGGTGGCTCACGCCTGTAATCCCAGCACTTTGGGAGGCCGAGACGGGCGGATCACGAGGTCAGGAGATCGAGACCATCCTGGCTAACACGGTGAAACCCCGTCTCTACTAAAAATACAAAAATTAGCCGGGCATGATGGCGCGTGCCTGTAGTCCCAGCTACACGGGAGGCTGAGGCAGGAGAATGGCGTGAACCCGGGAGGCGGAGCTTGCAGTGAGTCGAGATCACGCCACTGCACTCCAGCCTGGGCGACAGAGCGAAACTCCGTCTCAAAAAAAAAAAAAAAAAAAAAAAAAGAATGAAATCTTGTCATTTCAAACAACATGGATGAAGTTTGAGGACATTTTGTAAAGTGAAATAAGCCAGGAATGGAAAGTTAAACACCACATGTTCTCACTCATATGTGAAAGCTAAATATTTTTTTTTAAAAGGTGATCTCATAAAAGTAAAAAAGTAGAACAGAGGATATTACAGGCTGGCAATGGTAGGGAATGGGGGATAGGGAGAGATTAAAGCAAGATAGGAGGAATAAGTTTTAGTGTTCTATAACACTGTAGGATGACTATAGTTGACAATAATATATATATATTCAAAAAGCCAGGAGGCGGATATTGAATGTCCCCAACACAAAGAAATGATAAATGTTTGAGATGACAGATGTGCTTATTAATCTGATATGATCACTCTACATTATGTATATATTGAAACATCACCATTTAGTTCTGGTTCAAGATAGCTGACTTGAAGCAGCTATTGCGTGCCACTTTCTTGGGAAGTAAACAAAGTGGCAAATAAATACTGGCATTTCAAGTGGATTGGTTAAGAGCTCACGTCAGGATTCACTAAGGGAGTGACAGGACCCATAGAGAACAGAGAGGAACAAAGCCAAGCAGCTGCCCACTTGGGATGGTGTGAAGCCAGGGGAAACTCCCTGTCATGAAGAAAGAGTGAGTGAATGAGAATCTTCAGGGAATTCACACTTTTGTCACAGACCTTTGCGATCCTGGGCACAGGAGACGCCTTCCAGTCCCTTCAAGTTTCCAGATCAACACAGAGTCACCTAGAGTCTTTGCAGAGGCACTGCCGAAGCCCACTTGGAGCCCCACAGGCCTTGGATCCCTGAAGAGTCAAGCACTAGCTGCCATAGCTCAAACAGAGGCCACAGCCATGATGCTGAGAAGTGGCCAGACTGCTCTACTGCTTGTCACCAGGCAAGGCTCCCGAGCTTGGGCTCTAGTGCAGTGACTCCACCCCTGCCTGTACACTGCAGGTGGTTGCAGATCTGCACTCCTCTGGGAAGTGCCCATACTACAGACTGCACAACCCCCCACCCCCACTGCTCCTTGCCAGGAGGGACTGACCAGTTTGAGCTCCCAGCACAGCAGCCCACCACCAATACAAAATTGTAGCTGTCATAGCTCTGCATTCCTCTGGGGCAAAACTCCCAGAGGTAACAGACCAGGCTTGGCCCTGTCGCATGACCCTAATAGTAAAGCCCAATATTGCTTTAGTGGGAAGAAAGTGAGAGGTACCACATGTCTCAAAGCTGCCAGTCTCCACTGTCCCAGCTGAGGGATCCTGTCCTCCTCAGTGAAAAGCCCACAGTACAGCTGCCCTACTCCAACCTGAACAGTTCACCTGTGGCCCAGCACCTTTCTGAAAATTACACCCCCACAGGCCTATGATAATCCCTGAGGCTCCCGGCATCTAAGTATTCTGTCTGACCCTGCCTGAGGGTTCAGCCAGTGACCCAATGACCATCCCACCCCTCCCCATCACAGCCAGCACCTGAATCTGGGCTTACCCAATCCTGGCCCAGCCCCTTCAGGACTCATATATGCTGTCCAGCAGTCCACCTAGGGGCCTGGGAACTACCTACCCCATTTCAACTCTGCTGGCACGAGACCACTGCCTCAGGGCCTGAGGTCAGGCTGACAAAACCAGCTGACACCACCAAAACTAGCACCCACTTGCATGGGTCCAAAGGTGACACATCCTTTTACAGGAACCAACAGTATACTACTGCCATATTGGAGAATAGGTGAGCTAAAAAAGCTATCTGTATCAGGTTGAGTGATGAGGTTATGCTCTGAAACGATGCCCACAGAATCATAAAACAGATGTTTCTCATGGCTTTCAATCATGTTGTGGTCCAGAGATATACTATAGTGAACAGCTGAGCTAGCAGTTAGCAGCCATGAGCGCAGGAATAGGGGTGTGACTGGAAGACAAAAGATTAAGTTCCTGCCTATATAGGGTAAAAAGCTAGTGCAGCCCCCTCACCCCACCACAGAGAACTCAGAACACTTCATCAGGAGATCCAGCCACACTTGTCAGGGTTGGTGCCTGCACTTGCCATTGAGGTATGCATAGGCAAGCCAGGGGCTCTAGTTCTGCATAGCTATGTTTCTGGCACCCCCACAAAACAGGAATCTCAGGACACCAGGACTCTACTGTTCAGCCTTTCACCTGAAACAACATAGAGCACCACACAGTAAACAAAGATCAAGTATATACCCCCGTGCTCTTTCTATAGCGGGCTCCCGCATGTAAGTACCCGCAACTGGCCTGTAGGTCAAACTGTACATCCCAATATAAAATCTACTGGCAGAAGTGCATAAGACTCTATAAGCAAAGCCAAAAGACCTTACCCAACATACTCTACAGCTGCATCCTTTAGGCAGGAGGGGAAAGAGAATGAAAAAAATATATATATATATAGGAAAAGAAAAAAAATTGTATCTACAAGAAAAGAATTACATTAATTAAAAGTGCCAGCATCTCCAGATGAGAAGGAACCAGCATAAGAATGTCAGCACCATGAAAAATCTGAGTGTTGTGACACCACCAGAAGATTACACGTGCTCTCCAGCAATGGTTCCTAAACAAAATGGAAACTCAGAAATGACAGGTGAGGAATTCAAAATACAGATTTGAAACAAGCTAAATGAGATCCCAGACATATTTCAAAATCAACACAAAGAAACTTATAAAGCAATCCAGGAAGTGAAAGAAGAGATAAACATCTTAAAAAGAAATCAATCCAAGCTATTGGATTTGAAAATCTCATTAAAGACTGTGAAAATACAACTGAAAGCTTTATCAATAGACTAGACCAAGCAGAAAAAAGAAATTCAACGCTTGAAGACAAGTCTTCTGAACTAACCAAGTCAGACAAAACTAAAAAAAAAATTAAAAAATGAACAATGTATCCAAGAAATATGGAATTACATAAAGCAACCAAACCTATGAATTATTGGCATTCCTGAGAGAGAAAAAGAAAAAGTAAACAGCATGGAAAAACTTATTAGAAGAATAATTTGAGAAAATTGTCCTAATCTTGCTAGAGAGATAGACATTCAGAAACAAGAAATCCAGAGAATGTCTGCGAGATACTATACAAAATGAACATCACCAAGGCATATAGTCACCAGACTGTCCAAAGTCAACGATTAATAAAACATATATTAAAAGCAGCTAGAGTGAAACATCAGATAATGTACAAAGGGAATCCCATCAGGCTAACAGGCGACTTTTCAGCAGAAACCTTATAAGCAGGAAGAGATTGGAGGTCTATTTTCAGCATTCTTAAAGAAAAGAAATTTTAGCAAAAAATTCATATCCCAAGAAACTAAGATTCTAAACAAAGAAGAGAAAATGTTTTTTCAGAGAAGAAATCACTAAGGGAATTCATTACCACTTGATTGGCATTACAAGAAATCCTCAGGGAGTGCTAAACGCAGAAATGAAAGAACAATACCTGCTACCACAAAATCTCACTTAGGTGCATGGCCCACAGATCCTATAAAACAATTACATGATAAAAAATGCAAAATAATCAGCTAATAACTTCATGATAGGATTAAAACTTTATATATCAATATTAACCCTGAATGTAAATGGTCTAAATACCCCCACTTAAAAGGCACAGAGTGCAAATTGGGTACAAAAACAAACCCCACCCATCTCTGTCTTCAAGAGATCAATCTGACATGTAATGACACTCATAAGCTCAAAGTAAAAGGTTGGAGAAAGATCTATCATGCAAACAGGAAACTAAAAAGAGTAGGGGTCAGATAAAACAGACTTTACAACAACAGGGATAAGAACAAACAATGACATTACATAATGATAAATGGTTCAACTCAACAAGAAGTTGTATCTATCTTGAATATACACGCACCCAACATTGAAGTACTAGATTAATAAAACAAGCATTTCTACACCTATGAAAAGACTTAGACTACCACACAATAAGAGTAGGAGTCTTCAACACCCCACAGACAGTGTTAGATAGATCATCAAAGCAGAAAACTAACAAAGAAATTCTGGTCGTAAACTTAATGCTTGACTGATTGGACCTTATAGATATCTATAGGGCATTCCATTCATCAACCACAGATTATACATTCTTCTCATCTGCACATGGATCATACTCCAAGATCAACCACATATTTGGCCATAAAGCAAATCTCAATAAATTTTAAAATATCAAAATCATACCAACCATGCTTTCAGAACACAGTGGAATAAAATACAAATCAATAACCAGGATAGCTCTCAAAACCATACAATTGCATGGAAGTTAAACAACTTGCTCCGGAACGAGTCTCAAGTAAACAATGAAAGTAAGGCAGAAATTAAAAAAAAAAAATTTGAAATAAATTAAAGCAGAGACACAACATACCAAAATCTCTGGGATGCAGGAAAAGCAGTATGTACATTGGGCAAGTGTTAGGAGGAAGGTTTATTAGGCTGGAAACCTACATCAAAAAGTTTAAAAGATCTCAAATTAATAATGTGACATAACACCTAGAGAAACTAAAACACAAGAGCAAACTCATCCCATAACTAGCAGAAGAAAAAAATATCTAAAACAGGGCAGAACTGAATGAAATTGAGACACATACACCCATACAAAAGATAAACAAAAGCAAAATCTGGTTCTTTGAAAGGATAAACAAGATCAACAGACCATTAGCTAGACTAATTGAAAAGGAGAGAAGATCCAAATAAACACAATAAAAAATGACAAAGATGGCATTACAACTGATCCAAGAGAAATACAAAATATCCTCAGAGACTATTATGAACACTTCTGTGCACACAAACTAGAAAATCGAGAGAAAATGGATAAATTTCTGAAAACACATACTCTACCAACACTGAATCAGAAAGAAATTGAAACCCTGAACAGACCAATATTGAATTCCAGAATTGAGTAAGTAATAAAATACCTAACAACAAAACGGAGACCTAGACCAGACAGAGTCATAGCCAACTTTTTCCAGAATTATAAATGAGAGCTGGTACCAATTCTCCTGAAACTATTACCAAAAATTGAGGATGCAGTACTCCTCCCTAACTCATTCTATGAAAGCAACATCATTCTGTTACCAAAATCTGGAAGACACAACAGAAAATAGAACTATAGATCAATATCCCTGATGAATACAGATGTAAAATTTTTCTGCAAAATACTAGCAAACCAAACTCAGCAGCACATCAAGAAGTGAATTCACCACAGTCAAGTATGCTTTATTCCTGGCACACAGGGTTGTTCCAACATACACAAATCAATAAATGTTATCTACCACATAAACAGAATTAAAAACAAAAACCATGTGATCACTCAATAGAATAAAAAATAAGCTTTCAATACAATTCAGTATCTCTGCATGATAAAAACTCTACAAATTAGGTGTTGAAAAAACAGACCTCAAAATCATAAGAGCCATCTATGACAAACCCACAGACAACATCATACCAAAAAGGAAAAGCTGGAAGCATTCCCCTTGATAACTGAAACAAGGCAAGGATGCACACTCTCACAACTCCTATTCAATATAGTACTGGAAGTGCTAGCCAGAGAAAGACAATAATAAAATGCATCCAAATAGGAAAAGAAATAGTCAAATTATCTTTCTTTGCTAATCATATGATTTTTTTATTGTTGTTTTGGTTTTGTGTTTTTGTTTGTTTGTTTTGAAATGGAGTCTCACTCTGTCACCCAGGCTGGAGTGCAGTGGCACAATCTTGGCTCACTGCAACCTCTGCCTCCCAGGTTCAGGCGATTCTCCTGCCTCAGCCTCGTGAGTAGCTGGGATTATAGGCACGTGCCACCATGCCCGGCTAATTTTTGTATTTTTAGTAGAGACAGGGTTTCACCATGTTGGTCAGTCTGGTCTCGAATTCCTGACCTTGTGATCCTTCCACCTCGGCCTCCCAAAGTGCTGGGATTACAGGTGTGAGCCACTGCACCCAGCCATATCGTGTGATTTTATACCTAGAAAACCTTCAAGACTACACCAAAAAGCTCCTAGAACCGATAAATAACTTCAGTAATATTTCAGGGTACAAAATCAATGTACAAAACTTGGTAGCATTCCTATACATCAATAACGTTCAAGCCGAGAACCAAATTAAGAACATGTTCCACTTAAAATAGCCGCACAAAGTAAAATACCTAAGAATACATCTAACAAAAGAAGTGACATATCTCTACAAGAAGAATTCCAAAACACTGCTGAAAGAAGTCATAGATGACAGAAACAAATGGAAAAATCTTCCATGTTCATGGATTGGAATAATCAACATTATTAAAATGGCCATACTGCCCAAAGCAATCTATGAATTCAGTGCTATTCCTCTCAAACTACTACCATTTTTTTCACAGAAATAGAAAAAAAAATTCTAAAGTTCATATGGAACCAAAAAATACCCCAAATAGCAATCCTTATCAAACAAACAAAGCCGGAGGGATCACATTACCCAACTTCAAACTATACTACAGGGTTACACTAACCAAAACAGCATGATACTGATGCAAAAACAGATACATTGTCCAAAGAAACAGAATAGAGAACCCAGACATAAAACCACATGCCTACAACCATCTGATCTTCAACAAAGTTGACAAAAATCATCAGTAGGGAAAGGACTACCTATTCAAAAATAGTGCTGGGAAAACTGGCTAACCATATGCAGAAGAACAAAACTGTACCCCTATCTTTCATCATATACAACAAACTAGCTCAAGATGAATGAAAGACTTCAATGTTAAACTTTAAAAAAAAATTTTAACTTTCATTTTAGATTCAGGGGATACATGTGCAGATTTATTACCTGAGTATATTGTTGACGTTGAGGTTTGGAATATGATTGATACAATTACCTAGCCCCCGAAGCATAGTAAACAATAGGACATTTTTCAACCCTCACCCACTCCCTTTCCCCTCTAGTATTCTCCATTTTCTATTGTTGCCATCTTTATGTTCATGTGTACCCAATGTTTAGCTCTCAGTTATTAGTGAGAACATGTGGTATTTGGTTTTCTGTTCCTGCATTAATTCACTTAGGATAATGACCTAAGCTGCATTCATGTTTCTGCAAATAACATGATTTCATTTTTTTATGTCTGTGTAGTATTACATAGTGAATATGTATCACATTTTCTTGATCCAATACACCTTAGACAGACACCTAAGTTGATTCTATATATTTACTATTGTGAATAGTGCTGCAATGAACATACAAGTGAATATGTTGTTTTTTGTTTTTTTTTTGTGGAATGATTTATTTCCCTTTAGATATATACCTAGTAATGGGATTGCTGGGTCAAATGGTAGTTTTGCTTTAAGTTCTTATAGAAATCTCCAAACTGCTTTCACAGTGGCTGAACTAATTTACATTCCCACCCACAGTGTAAAAGTGTTCCTTTTCTCCATAGTCTTGCCAGCATCTGTCATTTTTTGACTTTTTAATAATAGCCATTCTGACTGGTGTAAGATGATGTATCATTGTGGTTTTACTTTGCATTTCTCTGATGATTAGTGATGTTGAGCATTTTTTCCTATGTTTCTAGGCCGTTTGGATGTCTTCTTTTGGGACTGTTTGCTCATGTCTTTTGACCACTTTTTAATGGTGTTATTTGCATTTTGCTTGTTCACTTATTTAAGCTCCTTATAGATGTTTGATATTAGACCTTGCCAGATGCATAGTTTATGAATATTTTCTTTCATTCTGTATGTTACCTAATTACTCTGTTGATAGTTTCTTTTGCTGTGCATAAGCTATTTAGTTTAACTAGTTCCCATTTGTCAATTTTTGTTTTTGTTGCAATTGCTTTTGAGGACTTAGTCTTAAATTCTTTCCCAAGCCAAAGTCCAGAATGATGTTTCTCAGGTTTTCTTCTAGGATTCTTATAGTGTGAGGTCTTACATTTAATTCTCTAATCCATCTTGAGTTAATTTTTATATATGTTGAAATGTAGGGGTCTAGTTTCACTCTTTTGCATATTGCTAGTCATATATCCAGCACCATTTATTAAATAGAGAGTTCTTGTCCTTTTATTAATTTCTTAACTTCGTTGAAGACCAAATGGCTCTATATGTGCAGCTCTATTTCTGCATTCTCTATTCTGTTCCGTTGGTCTTTGTGTCCGATTAAATATAAAATGTAAAACCATAAAAATCCTATAAGAAAACTTAGGAAATATCCTTCCCAACATTGGCATTGGCAAAGAATTTAGTAGTAAGCCCTCAAGAGCAATTGCAACAAAAACAAAAATTGACAAGTAGGCACTAATTAAAATAAAGTGTCTCTGCACAGCAAAAGAAATTATCAACAGAGTAAACAGGCAACCTAGAGAATGGGAGGAAATATTTACATTCTGTGCATCAACAAAAGCCTAATATCCAGCATCTAAAATGATTTTATGCATTTAAACAAGCAAAAAGCAAACAACTCCCTTAAAAAGTGGACAAATGATGTGAACAGAAACTTCTCAAGAGAAGACATCCAAGTGGCCAACAAACATGAAAAAATGCTCAACATTACTCATCATTAGAGTAATGCAAATCAGTACTACAATGACATACCACTTCCCACCAGTTAAAATGGCTATTATTAATTTGAAAAATTACAGATGCTGGCAAGGCATCTGGGAACAATTATACACTGGGGATGAGAATGTAAATTAGTTCAGCCACTGTGAAAGCAGTTTGAATATTTCTCACACTTAAAGCAGAACTACCCTTCAACTCAGCAATCCCATTACTGGGTGATATGGTTTGGATTTGTGGGATTTGTGTCCCTGCCTAGATCTCACCTCGAACTGTAAATCCCAGTGTTGGAGGAGAGGCCTGCTGGGAGGTGACTGAATGATGAATAGTGTAAATTGGTAAAAATAAAAATTACTGATTTGAAATTTGGCCTACCAGACACTGAAGACAAAGTTCTAACAATTTTATTTCAGCCAGATCAATTGCATGTTAATTTAAGTAGCTGATTTTTAGAGGAACATTATAGAATTCAGACTTTATATAACATATCATTCAAAATGTCTAGAATAGATTCCAAACTTATTTAACATACAAAAAAGAATAAAATATGACCCATTTTAAGAGAGAAAAAATTAGCATAGATTGATCTAGGATAATATACATATCAGAATAGTAAACAAGAGTTTTATGTTTGCTATTATAACTATGCTCAAGGATGTTAAGAATAATATACTCAAATAAATAAAAAGATAGAAAATCTTAGCATAGATGTATAAACTCTTTAATAAAATTTTTTAAATGAATGGAATACAGTATTTGAAACAAAAATTCACCAAGTCAGTTTAATGGAAGAATGGAGATTATAGAGAAAAAAGTTGTTAAATTTGAAATTAAATGAATAGAAATCATTTAATCTGAAGAATAGAGATTTTTAAAAGATGAAAAAAATGATGTGTTCTGGGCATGAGAGATAATATCAAATATTCAAACATTCAAGCACATATATTATTGGATTCTTAAAATTGAGAGGCGAGGTAATGAAATGTCTGACATTTAATGGCAAAATTTTCCAAAAAGTGGTAAAAGACATAAAATTATCAATTCAAAAAATAAGTGAATATCAAAAAGTATTAATAATAAAATACTAATTGATACTAATACTAATAATAAATACTAATTAATAATAAAATATTAATAATAAAATAAAATAATAAAATAAAAATGGAATAACACCTAAGCACATGATAGTTGAACAATGGAAATGAAAATTTTAAAAAAAGTACTTAAAATATTGAAAACAACCAGAGAAAAATAACACACTGTGTGCAGTGAACAATTATGCAAATAATATAAATTACCACTGATATCACGTTACACACAATGGCAACCATAAGACTGGAGAACAACTTTACAGTGCTGGGGAAAAAAATTAAACTACCAACTCAAAATTCATCACTCTTTATCAGTCATCTTTGCTCCCCAATTTCTTTATTTTGAGCTACATTCACATTCCCATGATGCCAGCCAGCCTCAGAGCTTTTAATAATTGCCTATTTACCCATAATGCACAAATGTATGTCTACGGTCTAGATATAAACTACAGACTTGAGTATCCAACTCCCCAGCCCTCCTAGAATGTCTGAAAGTAATCACAAACTCCATGTGGCCAACACTGAGCTTCTTACCTTCTCCTCCAAACTACTTCACTCACGACCTTTTCCATCTCAGTTGAATGGCAGCTCAATTCCACTTTCTCAGATCCCTTTACAGCTTGTCAAGACATTATGCTGACTCTAACTTCAAACTCTTTCCAGATTCAAACTCTTTCCTTCTCCTACTGCTCTGGTCCAAACAACAACATTTCTTACCGTAATATTGCTTTCATTCTTACCTCCTGTATCCTTGACCCTGTATTGTATTTTGAACACAGCAGGCAGATGCCTTTCATTTCATTCCTCTAAATCTTTCAAATGAAAGCCAAAATCCTGCAATAAGCTTTAATGATTTACAACAGCTATATTTATTTAACTCTTTCCTGTCTTCTTTCCAACTGGTTGTAGTCCTAGTGCTTTTCTTTAAACATTCCAAGAGCTCTCATCTCAAAGCTTTGTATTGGTTGTTCCCTATGTTTGGAAAGTTCTTCTCTCAGATAGTCACATGATAACTCTCTTACAGAGGTCACATAATATTTGCTCAAACATCATCTTTGAAAATATCTTTTTATATACTGTAAGAGTTATTATTTATGTATAGTTAACAATGTATCATTTATTTTCTCTCTCCCTACCTTAATATAAGCACCTAAGAAGCAGAGGTTGTTTGTGATAACTTTGTTTAAAGATGTGTTTTCATTTCTGAAATAGAATTCAATATATATATTTGAAGAAAGCACAAAATAATAGAATTTGTAATCTCCTCCCTCATTACTTTTATTTTTTTCATTTTTTTGTTTTCAGAGGAATTTCCATGATATTTTTCTTCATATCACAGTTGTAATTTTTCTTGGTGTCAGCTGTCCTTCATGGATTTGTATTTTGCTATTTTATTTTTATATTTTCTTATCTTGTCATTGCCTTTTTTCATCTCATTCAGTTTTTTTCATCTTTTTATTTTTTCAGTTTTGACTCCTTTTATTCTGATGGTTTTTAGCTGCTGTTTTGAGAGGCAATGTATCCTCATAATCTTAGATGCCATTCTTTTTTCTTTCCCCCTTGATCTTTCAATAGATTATCAGAGATCTACATATCTAGTATGAATTTTCCTTTACTTTATTTGGTGATATTATTATAGGTTCCATTAGAAAAGCGTTACCTCACAATAGGAAATATTTTCCTCTATCCAGAGTTGCCTACAGGCATTAACTTGGATATTCTGTGTATCTGCCATCTGTCTACTTTATTCCTGGTAGAACCCTTTTCTTGGATTGTTCAACTGAATAACCAACAATCTAATACATCCAGCTCATAGCCCATGCTTCAGTGTTTGGGAAGCTTTCTAGTACTGACAGAAACTTGAATCGCAATAGCATAACAACCCCTAAAAAGTAAAGTAAATAAAACATCCATGGTGCACTGAATGTACCTGATGCTGGACTAAATGTTTTGTGTTCCCCTCCTGATCAACAACCATATGAGAAATAATTAAATTATTGTAATTTTAAAAGGAAGAAGTTGAAGCATATACTGAGTAAATAATGTGACCAAATAAATAGCAATTTGAAAATTAAGGATCAAAATCTAGGACTTTCTGATTCCTAACTAAACCAGTGTTCTTAAATATTATGCTATTCATTCACAGTGCCCTAAATGTATTAAGTGCTGTTTCCGAAATGTTCAACTATAAGGTTTTTTCCATTTTTCCACTCCCTCTGGTAATAGCTCTTAGGATTTCACCAGTTGAGATTCAAAAATGAGTCACTACCAACCCAAACACCTCTACCCAATTATTTTCCAAAAATTGTAGTTTTTGACGAAATGGAGGATGAGAGTTTCTAATGGGAGGGGGGGTACAAATCTTATGCACAAAACAGCAGTCAGTCATGCAGTATACCTTATAAGGTAGAGAGAAGTGAGACAAGTTTTCTGCCTAGTATAAAATTTAATTTTCACTGGCATAAAGGTACTTCCATTTATTTAATCTAATTGGTTGGCATTGAAATTTAAAAAATCTCTTCTGGCATTAGAATAGTATTTTCTTTAAGTTCTAGTTTATAATTCTATTTTAAGTTTTCATATTATTCTTTGTTACTAGAGTGTTTTAGAGTCAAGTTGCAATGGTAATAACAGGAGACATTGCCAGATGTCAAGTTAATCAGTAGTACTAACTTTCATATGCAACTTCTTTGTGGAAGTATAAAGAATCTCAAATAATCCACCTATTAGTAGTTAGAATAGTTATAGAAGACAAAAATGGGCCCAATTCATGTATATTTTCTTGAAAAACAGATTTTGGTCAGAAGATATGTTTGCAGAAAGAAGCAAAAGGTTAAAATTTACACCTGTCTTTTTATTATGATGACAGTTATGTATACAAGAATGATTGAATTTTATTAGTTTATCTTTTTAAAAATATGTATCATGAAAATGTGTTCAATATCGAATCCTCCCTTAATACTTCTTTTTGTAGAAAAGCAAAAACATAAAAGTTACTCTTTGAGTTCCAAAGACAACAAATAATTATTTTGGATGTCTTGAAGTAAAAATCCAAAATAGATTTAAGAAACACCTAGATTTTGATGTTTACATTTTGACAAGCACACTTCAGGGAAATAATATTTTATGGTGTTCACATACTGTTGAAAACTTGTTTTTAGAATTATATTTTAGGTTTCATTTTTAATCACAGCTATCTCCATTATACCTCTAGGCTTTTTCTTTCTCAAAACTGACAAAAGTAAAAAGAGAATGAGAATGAATAACTGAAGCAGAGTTAATACAATTTGAAAAGAGTTGAGGTTTACCTTTTGATGGTGAATTAGCATATATAGTAACTCTTGCTATATTAAATAAATGCAGTAATTTTGCTAAGCTATGTGGTAGATTTCACTGTTAAATCTTATTTTACAGAATGTCGCTTATAAACTTTATGTTGGTAGTGTTTTAAAACAGTAAGCTCTATCCCATCAATGTCCATATTATGGGAATGGAAATAAAGCATAAAAAAATCAGTATTTAGCACAGAGGGTGAAAACTGCTGGCACTGTAACTGTACTTTGCTGATATACCTTTTTAGAGCTATATTTTTGCTGCCCCAAAAGAATCAGTTTCACCTGGTGAGCATTCTACTACAGGGAAAAGCAATGCCAGCATTCACATAAATGACAGTGTTCTGGGTATTACATTCGAAACACCAAAATGGGACTCATAGCTCAAAATGTATCCCTTGCCTATTAATGATATCTGTAACTTATTTGCAGAACAAAAAATAAGTCTTCCATGTCTTTTCTTAGAAATACAGCAAAAGTATAAATAGCACAAATGGCATGTAACCTATAATTCTAAAATGACACTCAGGTATAAATGGGAGCTTCTGTCCTGAGAATACAAACAAGAAGGAAGTAAACAAAAAAATCACAAAAATGTAAAAGTGGCTTAGAAAGCACATGCTTTGATAGTTTCTTATTTCATTTTTGGTTCTGGGGTACATGTGCAGGATGGGTAGCTTTGTTACCTAAGTAAACATGTGCCATGGCAGTATGCTGCACCGATCAGCTGATGACCTAAGTCTTAAGCCCAATATGTCTTCTATTAAGAAGTGTCGGTTCATGTCCTTTGCCTTTCATGTCCTTTGCCTACTTTTTAATAGGGTTGTTTATTTTTTCTTATAAATTTATGTTTCTTATAGACTCTGGCTATTAGACTTTTGTCAGATTGATAGGAAGCAATATTTTCCTCCCATTTTGTGTGCAGAAGCTCTTTGGTTAAATTAGATCCCATTTGCAATTTTGTTGTTGTTGCAATTGCTTTTGGCATCTTTGTCATGAAATCTTTGCCCATGCTACGTCCTGTGTGGTATTGCCAAGGTTGTCTCCCAGAGTTTTCATAGTTTGTGGTTTCACATTTAAGTCTCTAATTCATCTTGAGTTAATTTCTGTATGTGATATAAGGAAGGAGTCCAGTTTCAATTTTCTGGATATGTCTAGCCAGTTATCCCAGCACCATTTATTGAATAGGGAATTCTTTTCTTGTTGCTTGTTTTTATCAGGTTTGTCAAAGATCAGGTAGTTATAGGTGTGCAGTCTAATTTCTGGGTTCTCTCATCTGTTCCAATGGTTGTTGTCTGTTCTTGCACCAGTACCATGCCGTTTTGGTTACTGTCACCTGTAGTATAGTTTGAAGTGGGGCAGATTGATGCCTCCACCTTTTATTTATTTATTTATTTATTTATTTATTTATTTATTTATTTATTTATTTATTTTTGGTTAGGATTGCCTTGTCTATTCAGGCTCTTTTTTGGTTCCATATGAATTTTTAAATAATTTTTTTCTAGTTCTGTGAAGAATATCAATGGTAGTTTAATGGGAATAGCATTGAATCTATAAATTGCTTTGGGAAGTATGGCCATTTTAATGATATTGATTCTTCCTACCCATGAACATGGAATGTTTCTCCATTTGTTTGAATCATCTCTGATTTATTTGAGCAGTGGTTTGTAGTTCTTCTTGTAGAGATGTTTCCCCTCCTTAGTTAGCTGTATTCCTAGGTATTTTATTCTTTTACAGAAATTGTGAATGGGAGATCATTTGTGATTTGGCTCTTGGCTTGACTCTTGTTGGTGTATAGAAATTTCAGTGTATTTTGCACATTGATTTTGTATCCAGAGACTGCTGAAGTTGTTTTTCAGCCTAATAATCTTTTGGGCTGAGACAGCCTAG
Source organism: Homo sapiens (assembly GCF_000001405.40). Taxonomy (NCBI): domain Eukaryota; kingdom Metazoa; phylum Chordata; class Mammalia; order Primates; family Hominidae; genus Homo; species Homo sapiens. The sequence goes on along the minus strand of NC_000007.14, from coordinate 86,044,907 downwards.
CAATCCTATTGCTAAGTATATATCTAAAGAAATATAAATTGTTCTATTATAAAGACACAGGCATGCATATGTTCATTGCACCACTATTCACAATAGCAAATACATGGAATCAACCTAAATGTCCATCAAAGATAGACGGATAAAGAAAATGTGGGACGTGTACAGCATGGAATACTATGCAGCCATAAAAAAGAATGAGGTCATGTCCCTTGCAGGGACATGGATGGAGCTGGAGGCCATTATTCTTAGCAAACTGACACAGGAAAAGCAAACCAAATACAGTGTGTTCTCACATATAAATGGCAGGTTAATTATGAGAAAACAAGAACACATAGAGGTAGAGGGGAACAACACACACTGGGGCCTATGGAGGGTGGAGGGTGGAAGGAGGAAGAGAACCAGAAAAAATAATGGGTAGTATGCTTTATACCAGGGTGATGAAATAACCTGTACAACAAATCCCCATGATGCACGTTTACCTATGTAATTAACCTGCACATATACCCGGAGCTTAAAATAAGTTTGTTTAAAGACATCTTATAAAGCATTAATTTTACTGCCTAAGCCATGAGCAAAAACTTTGCCATGTGAAATTTCCTTCTTTTTTTTCAGAAAATACTCCAAATCATGTTTCCTGTGCTATCAAGCTTACTGTTTTATTACCACTATTTTTTACTATTTGAGTTTTCTAGAATTTAATACTATCTCTTGCACTTTTTCTTCATTGCGTAAGGTAAATTCTTGAATCTGGAAAATTTTACAAATAACCTGAATTTTACACTGCTAACTCTGAGGACTGTTTTAGAGGAAAACATTCAAAAGGCTTTAAATATGGAAACAGTTTTTTCTTAATTTTATTCTCAAAATAGAGAAGACTTGTGATATGAACAGAATTATAGGAGACAGAAATATTCTTCTTATCTTTCACAAGGTGCAAATAACAACTAGTCAGAAAAGTCCATTTTCAGCAACTCTAAGAGAAAGAAGAAAAATCCACAGTTTCAAAAACTAAAATAAAATATACAGGCTGCTCAAAGCAGTTAATCGCAATGCAGAGATGAGCCATGGTGAGTGTAACAGAAAATAGTGTGGAGATGGGATGATTGGTCAGAAAGTCAATCAGCCCAATGCCAGGAGATATCAAAAAATGCTCCCCCCCAAAAAATGCTAATAAATTTGAACTCTTGGATGACAAATATACCTTACTAGGCCTGACCAGAAGAAGGAATAGAAAATATGCCTAGTCTAATATCTATTGAATAAATCAAAATTCATTATTAAGACTTTTGCCAAAGAAATCTCAACCTCAATTGTCTCACTGATAAATTATTCCACAATTTGTGGAATATTTTTAAATGCCATGTATGCCCCTGAGAATTAAAAGGAGCTCTTCAATTTATTTTATGAGGAATCCAACATTTTTTAAAAAATCTGATTCTTTGATTAAATGGCTGAGAATCTGATGGTCATGTTAACAATGCCCTTTGAAGCTATGTCTTATACTCAATTTTACCATCAAATGAACAGCCGAAATCTAGCCTTGACTACCCATTAATGAAATTGTGAATCAATTATTCTATTTCTTGTTGGTTTGGGTCAAAAAGTTTCCTTTCATCATTACTACCAAAACGTAACATATTTAGACAGTTTGTTCGGTATCAGGAAGAATAATGAATATCGGGTTAATTATGCTTTTGTCTTTGGATATTTTTAAAATCTGAGTTCTAGTAAGGATCTATATTATTGTTATACAATGTCACTTGGAGCACTGAAACAAAAATAAAAAGGATGTGGAACAGAGCATGTATAAAGGCAGGATTCAGTTAAGTGTGTGATGAAATCAGTTTATTTTCAGTTCATATGTCTAATATTAAGTGATGGTAGGTATGGGGAAATAAAGTAAATAGTAGGTTTTAGCGATGAATATTAGAAGTGGTTGGAGTTTCAGATACAATGTTTCCCACCTCAGTACACTTATTTACACATAGCAAGAGTGAATTGCTTATGAAGGGGACAAGCTGTCGATTACTGACTGGAGTATAGGACAGAAGTCCCCTTTACTATTTCCCTGTAGAGTTAAATGCTTTGAAGAAAATGTTGAGGACTTAGGCTTCCGGTGAAGATCAACTGACAGTTACAAATAAATATAATTTTGACACAGTTTAACCTGTGTGTGTGTTTGTACAAATTGTAAATGTGCACCTGAACAAGTAAGTGAATTTTAAAAGGTAAACGAAGCGTGGTGACCTGAATTTATATCAAGTAGGGATCACTTTTACAGAAGCACTCCTCATTCTCTCTCCCTCTCATGAAGGTAACTGACATTTTGACCTTTGACATCACAGGTTACTTTCATGCAACATTGTAGTTGCTCTTCAATCATTTTTGTTGCTCTATAATTTTCCATTGCATGAAATTATAACAAAATATGTTGATTTGTACTAAAATTGATGGACGTCAAGGTAATTTCCTATTTGGAACCATGATGTATACTACCACTATGAGCATTATTGTACATGTGTATTTCTTCTTGGATCTACCTAGAAAGAGAGTTATTGGGATATGCATATTTTCACCTTCATTTGAGGATAACATGCAGATTTCCTGTTTCCAATTTTACCAGCAGTGGATGAGGGTTTCTGTTGTCTCTTTTCCCTGTCAATACTTGGTATGATTGTATGATCAGTCTCTTTTATTTTAGCTATACTAGTGTATGCAAATTAAAATAAAATGTTTTAAATTTGAATAGCTCATATGATGAGATAGAATGCTTTTTAAAATTTTTATTGTTAATTTATATGTTTTCCAAAGTGAAGTGCTCTTTCATGTATTCTGCCTATGTTTCTTTTGGGTGTATTTATTTTATTTTTTATTGTGGTAAAATATACATAGCACAAAATTTAGTATTTCAATCATTTTTAAGTGTACACTTCAGTGGCATTAAGTACATTCACAATGTTTGCAACCTTTGCCATTATCCATTTCCAGAACTTTTTCATCATCCCAAACAGAAACTGTACCCATTATAGCAATTCTCCATTGTCTCTTACTCCCAGACCTTGGTAACTTTTATTCTAATCTCTGTGGCTAAGGATTTGCCTATTCTACATGACTCATATTAATGGAATAAAAACATTGTCCTTTTATGTTTAGCTTATTTCACTTAGCATGTTTCAAGGTCCATCTGTGATGTAGGCATGTATAACATTGTCAGTCTTTTTTAATACTGAATACTATTCCTTTGTGTGCATATAAATTTTGGTTATTCATTTATCTGTTGTTAAATACTTGTTGTTCCTCCTTGTGGCTATTGTGAATAAAAGTGCTATGAACATTGATATCTGTCTGTTTGAGCCCCTGCTTTCAATTTGTTTGGGTATGTATCTGGGAATGAAATTGCTGGATTATGTGATAACTCTGTGTTTAAGTATTTAAGGAACTGCCAAATTGTTTTCCACAGTGTCTGCATCATTTAATGTAACATTTCCACCAGCAAAGTACAAGGGTTACATATTTTTACATATTCTCACCAACGTGTGTTCATTTCCATTCCCCCCCCACCTAACAACCTGCTCTGTATAGTGAAGAATGTGGCAAATGCCTCAGTGAACAATTTTAAAGGGACAGGCTTATTCCTTGCAGCTTCTCCTGCTTGCTCCACTGAAGTGCCGGCTGCTTTGGCACAAAATTCTAAGTTTTCTCACCCTAATCTTTTGAGATCACCAACATTGTTGCTGGGTTATCTGCCCTCTGGCAGCAACCTTCAGCAAGAAGAGTTGTGTTGATCTTTGAAAATCAACAAATATTCTGAAGAATGAAACAGTTGCAGAATGGTGGCTCATGGGGTTCCCTTCTGTCTGGGATCTTGGACTCTGAAGATGTGCTCTTTATTTTGTTTGTTTATTATTAAATTTACTTTAGATGGCCTTTTATGTTTCTAATAGGAGGCTATTCCATCCCAGGCTTTGAAATCTCATAAATATTTTTGATTGCAATGTTCTATCTGTTCTTCTTCAAAAGAGAGATCTCATTTGTATTAGCAGTATGGTCTAATGCTATCTGGATAAAAATGGGATTATATTAGCCTTTAAATAGAAAACGTATAATTTTTCAAAAAGTAAAATTGCCATAAATCTCTCTACTGATGACTGGACAAGTAATTTGTAATAATGTAAAGTAAGTGAACACATCAGTTACCCTGTCTTGTACTGAAATTCACTCAATCTGAATCTCAGCAAATAGTTAAGTGACAGTGTAATTTTTAGGTTTGTGCAAACTTCCCAGGTGAATGCCATCAAATTCCAGCCTCTGAAATATATAAAATCAAAATATTCTATAGAGATAACCTCTTGGAACTGCAATGTGTAGGAATCTGTTTTTTATTTCTGCGACACAAATCAGTTTAGTTTAATTAACTCAACATGTTTAATTTTCTTTTTTTTTTTATTATACTTTAAGTTTTAGGATACATGTGCACATTGTGCAGGTTAGTTACATATGTATACATGTGCCATGCTGGTGCGCTGCACCCACTAACTCGTCATCTAGCATTAGGTATATCTCCCAATGCTATCCCTTACCCCTCCCCCCACCCCACCACAGTCCCCAGAGTGTGATATTCCCCTTCCTGTGTCCATGTGATCTCATTGTTCAATTCCCACCTATGAGTGAGAATATGCGGTGTTTGGTTTTTTGTTCTTGCGATAGTTTACTGAGAATGATGGTTTCCAATTTCATCCATGTCCCTACAAAGGACATGAACTCATCATTTTTTATGGCTGCATAGTATTCCAGGGTGTACATGTGCCACATTTTCTTAATCCAGTCTATCGTTGTTGGACATTTGGGTTGGTTCCAAGTCTTTGCTATTGTGAATAGTGCCGCAATAAACATACGTGTGCATGTGTCTTTATAGCAGCAAGATTTATAGTTCTTTGGATATATACCCAGTAATGGGATGGCTGGGTCAAATGGTATTTCTAGTTCTAGATCCCTGAGGAATCGCCACACTGACTTCCACAATGGTTGAACTAGTTTCCAGTCCCACCAACAGTGTAAAAGTGTTCCTATTTCTCCACATCCTCTCCAGCACCTGTTGTTTCCTGACTTTTTAATGATTGCCATTCTAACTGGTGTGAGATGGTATCTCACTGTGGTTTTGATTTGCATTTCTCTGATGGCCAGTGATGATAAGCATTTTTTCATGTGTTTTTTGGCTGCATAAATGTCTTCTTTTGAGAAATGTCTGTTCATGTCCTTCGCCCACTTTTTGATGGGGTTGTTTGTTTTTTTCTTGTAAATTTGTTTGAGTTCATTGTAGATTCTGGATATTAGCCCTTTGTCAGATGAGTAGGTTGCGAAAATTTTCTCCCATTTTGTAGGTTGCCTGTTCACTCTGATGGTAGTTTCTTTTGCTGTGCAGAAGCTCTTTAGTTTAATTAGATGTTTAATTTTCTTAAGACAGAAAAAAAGTAGTGTATCCCATTTTTTAAAACACTTTTTCCTAGTTTGGCTGAAACTATTGAATTCTTTTTCAAAATATGCTATTTTAAAACTTTTCTGTACTCATTTAGGATTACAGAATTTGTGGTAATGATATGTTCATTAACCCGATACCTTTAAAATTTTATTGTTATGTATCAAAACCTAACATTTACTCCTGAATTATCATGAATGTGCCATTTTAATAACCAATAGCTTTTAAACAGGCTACAGTATTTCCCAGGAATATGAAAGTTAATGAAAATAATGAGGTTGCTTGATACTGATCCCATAATAATAAATATAAAAATTAGAGATGCAAATTTTCTATTAAGCAATAATAAAAACGTGTTTTCTATTTTAGAATTCTGATTTTTTCCTAGCAATTAAATTACAGTTAATATTTCCCCAATAATTCCAGATATATATTTCAATGACGTTATTCTCGAAACTGCTTACTAATTTATACAAATAATTTTCTGTTTGTTTTATACTTGTATATGTTTAGTATACAATACCTGCAAGTGTAGACAATGCTATAATTCAATTATTGCTTCTAATTGCAACTATAATCCTCACCTTTGCAGCAAGACAGAATAGTAACTTCAAAGTATTTACCAATTTTACCCCTACATCTACTTCCACCTTCATAAGAGTTCAAGAGTTTTAGGGGAAGAGAAGAAATTTTAGAACCCAGGAGATTTGGAAACTTTGTCCACTTTCCATTTTCCTCTATCCCCTACACATAAGCTCTAGAAAATAAGCTGTCAGAAACCCTGTGTACTTCTTTTCACAGATAGAGACATAAGGATTGGCATGTCCACCATTCTTCTTCAACCCAAACAAAACAAAACAAATATACAACAACAATAACAAACACAGAAATGGCTATTAATTATGTCTGAGAGCCTTGGAGAGACTCAGATCCTCAGAGTTTTCTAATGCATCACTATAGAATAAGAACCGCATATTTATCTGAGCTTAAAGTGTAATGGAGGGTGGTGGGCAGGGAGAGAGGGAGAGAGAGAGAGAAAGAGAGCGAGAAGAGAAGAGAAGGGAAGAGAAGAGAGGAGGAGAGGAGAGGGGAGGGGAGGAGACAGGAGAGGAGAGGAGAGAGGAGAGGAGGGGAGAGAAGAGAAGAGAAGAGGAGAAAGGAGGATAAGGAATGTGAAGAAGACTTTTAATAAAAAGGGAAGACTTTAAGACTCAGGAGTAAGCTGACTGGGTTCTAACCAAAGAGGAGATGGAAGTCTGTAAGTCTCAGTGGCACCAGGTCCTGATCTTAGTGACCACTTCTCTAATGCCTTTATTTTTAAGAAATCAAAAATTACAGATGTGACCTTAGGGAAAAGGGTTAAGTCATTTTATTGACTAAGTCTAAGGCTTCACCACCTTGGTGAGCTGAAGTCTCAGTTTAAAAAAAAAAAAAGAAATTAAAGAAAATTGCATTCTTAGACACGTGTCTATTAAAATAGCCTATAGCTATGAATATCATTTATCACTTCCGAAATGGCAAAAGTCTTCTATTGGCATGCAATGGTCACTGAGAGTTGCACTTGTTACCTCTTTAGAAGATGTTTATTATAGATGGAATACACATCTGCTCTTAAGCAACTCAGTGAGGAATATGTGACAGAATATGAAACCGAGAAATAAAGAAAAAATACCAAGTTGGAGCAGTTCTGCCTATCTAGGTGATAGGTTGAATTGGAGATTCAAGAAGTTTCCTGCTCTACGATGTGCCTTGAAAGCATGACATGGTCCCTGCTTGTTCAGTGAAGAGTGGGACTGAGGCAAGCTTGCAAGATTTAAGGCAGAAGCAAGTGGAAGTAGTAAAACATGCATATTTTCTCAGCTGCAAAAAGCGATTGGTATTCTATGCCTGTGACAGGTTAAGTTTTACTGAATGCTGTTTGTCCTTAACCATCATTCTCAGCAAACTAACACATGAACAAAAAACCAAACACCACATGTTCTCACTCATAAGCGGGAGTGAGAACAATGAGAATACATGGACACAGGAGGGGAACATCACCCACTGGGGCTTGTCAGGGGGTGGGGGAAGGAGAGGGATAGCATTAGGAGAAATACCTAGTGTAGATGACAGGTTGATGAGTGCAGCAAACCACCATGGCGCATGTATACCTATGTAACAAACCTGCATATTCTCCACATATATCCCAGAACTGAAAGTATAATAAAATATGAAAATAAATAAATATATAAAATTTATTTTTTTAAAAATCTCAAATCTGAACTCTGGAGAAGCATTGTGTTCTTTCAGAGAGTTATACGTATATTATATGTATCCTAAGTTTTATTCTTGCCAAAAAGAAACTCTTTATGTAGTCTGGATGACTGCCCTGAGGTTGCCACTGTGAATATGGTTTTTTTTTATTTTTATTTTTTTGGGTTTTTTTTGGTTTTTTTTTTACTGAAAAACAACTTCTTCAAGAAAGAAAATAACTGTGTTCTACTGCTGCTTGAAGAAAGAATGTGGAAGGACAATGAATATTAGTGTGTTGGCAATGGAAGTTACAGAAAAGGCAGGATTCCTGGAATTTCATCATCATACATTAGACTTAAGATGGAAAGTCAAATGACAAAAACTTTAAAATCAGAAATATAAACAAATTATTCCTTTAATTGAAGAGTAAGGTTTTGTTGTTGTTGTTGTTGTTGTTGTTGTTTTAGGTTAAACATGTCATGCTATGTCCTTAGGACCTGTCTTTAGAAAAGACCTATTCATACAATAAAGATTTGCAATATAGGAACATATAATCACATATAATCACATTTGTTCATTCAATGAAACTCAAAATATGCAAAAAAAATTAAAACTATCTCCATGATAAAAGTGATTTTTTTCTCAACTGTTATAAGAATCTAGAATCTGAATTTTAACTTTAAGAAATGGAGAATTGAGAGGCTTAGAAATAAGGAAAGGTAGTTTTTGAATACAGAATAATAGAGCTGAAAAAGAGAACATTAAAGAAAGAACACATAAATCAGAAATCATATCAGGCAGTTATTGAAAAATTCAACCAAAAGTTTTTAAAATGACCGCACTGAGAACACTCTATTTATAAATCATTTGAGTGAAGAACAGAAGATCCAAGATGCTGCTGACAAGGACCCTTCAGGATAAGTCCATAATTATAACAACAGTTTCACAACTGTTATTTGGCATTATTTATATAAAAACAATTGAAATATATAAAACAATTGCCATCAAATACCACAATTAAAAAAAAGAAAAGGATATCAAAAAACAAAACTTTGAGGCTAAATAAAATAAAGTAAAAGAGAAAACATAATAATTTTTTCTTTATACCGTTATTCCCAGGATATGTCATTTGAAAAATAATAAGAAAAATTTATAAATATTTGAAAATCAATCTATAACATATTAGTTTATCTTACAATATTTTTGGTGATTTAATATAACATAAAAGTACCATTTTTAGATAGTAGAAATTATCTTCTGTCTTTATTTGTCTCAATTATTGGCTAAGGAAAATGGTAATGTGAATAATACCCAATTTGGCAGAGCTTCCAATCAAGAAGAGTTGATTGCAGCTGGGTGTGGTGGCTCATGCCTGTAATCCAAAGCTACTCAGGACATTGAGGCAGGAAGATTGCTTAGGGTCAGGAGTTTGAGACTAGCCTGTTCAACATATTGAAACCCTATCTCTAATACATTTACATAAACATTTTTATAGGTAAGTATGTATATTTTTAATATATATATTTAAAGAAGAGTTTATAAATTTACCTTTGTTCTTTACATTGAGCATCCAATGATATTAAGACACCTTCAGGTTATATCAATGTGTAATTGTTAACTATAATTTCTGGAATTCATTGTGGACAACAATAAATTAGGAGTTCATTACTGGCCATGAATACCTTATGAATACCAATAATATTAGGACCACTTGGTTTTAAATATTTGCAATAGTATTTTAAAAGAAAAACAACAACGACAGCACTGGCAGATAAACAGCCTGGAGTTTATAAAGTGAGGTTTTTATTATTCAGCTTATGATGACTTGATAGTATTTTAGAGTGAATTTGATTATTATTCCTTGTCTATAGCCAATTTTTTTTTCACTCCTGTTTGGTGTCAGTTATACAAAAATAGACATACCATATGCTATAATTCTCAGATCATGGGATTATGTGAATAGTTTAATTTTAGCTAAAATGAAATACATTTCCCTAAGGGGAAGTCCTAATTTTATTTACTATATCTAAGTTTATCACAAGAGTTTAGATGATTGTGCTACAAACCTTTGGGGTACTTATAAAACTCCTATAATAGTACTTTCAACAGCCAAAGACAATTTGATATTAATGGATCTTTAAAGGAAAAAATGTCTAGTTTTGAAAATTACATAAATTATAAATTATTCAGTGTTCACTGTCTTCGTTAGATAATGTACTATTATTCCACTTTATACAGAGCTAAAAAGCATCCATGGATCATTTGATATATTTTGAGAGGTTTATTACTTGACTCGTTTTCAAGTTTATATCTAACAAATTGGCACACTATGATTAATGATTTTGTAGAAGTATTTACTAGAAAAAAATAATAAATTCAAACCCATTTTAAAAGTGAAAATGCAAAAAACTGCACAAAATTTAATGACATTTTTAACTACACATAGAAAATGATGACAGCAATATGAAGTTCTACAAAGTTGGTGAAAAAATATGTGATTGGTTTATATTTTCTATGTACGTCCTTATGCACAAAAGTCATGCTGAAGTTTAATTGAAGTTGAGAAAACTAGCTTCTAACAAAAGCATTTGTTTTACCTATTAAAATGGCAATGAATTAAAATTTCATTTATGAGATAAAAAATGCCAGCATGTCCAGATAAAGGAAGGATTATTTAAATTATCTTTTCCTAGTTCTTGCTCTTGTAACCATTCAATCAGTATAATTTTTGAAGTTATTAAAAAGCTCCATTGTAAAACAGTAGCCAGCTTTTTAAAAATCCTTTTTGTATTCTGAAATGTAGTTTTAGAAGGAAAAGATAGATAGTAGCTAAGTTTTGAAGACAAAACTTATCTTTTCTGTTCCCAAAACAGTTTGGAGTAATTTAAATCGAATAGATTTTATAAAGTAATTTAACTATTTGAGATATTTAGTTCAAAATATGCACAAGAAATCTGAACTTATTTTAATATCACTTCAGACTGTTATATTAAATAATTCAGACTTTTATAGCATAGCCATATAATTAAAAATAATTTAGAGATAAAATAATTATAAATATTAATTTCAATAGTCTTTTATAACAAGCTCATATTTCTTTAGAACATTAAAATATTTTTCACTATACAAGGTCAAAGCTTAGTTTATTCTTAAATTATCTTATCACAAAAGATAAGATAATTTCTGAAATTACAGAAAATTTTCCCCTAAGCCTTGGTGAGAGTAGCTATGAAGTTAGTTTCCACAATTATATTTTAATCAAATAAGTAAAAGAAATTCACTAGAAGTTCTACATTTCATTTTATAATTTTATATTGTAATTTTACATTATAATATAAACCAATATTTAAGAAAAATGTTGATTCAAGTATAACATTATTCATAGTTTCTCCAAATTGAGGACAATTTTTCTAATGTCCCTCAATTAGTAATACAAAGTATGGCATATCTATACAATGCAATGTTTCTTGAACAGTCAAGAAGGACAAAATAGTGATACATACAACAATATAAATAAATGTAAAGTGCATTTTCTAAGCAAAATAATATCTAAAGGCTGATATTGTATGATTCCATTTATATGATGTTTTACAAAAAGAAAATCTGGAGAAAAAACCAATCATTAATGCCCAAGGGTAGGGGGGTGAGTATAAACAGTTGTCAGTAGAAAGGTGGTATAGGAGACTTGAGGACAAACGTACTGTTCTCTCCAAAACTGTGCTCACTGCTACATGACTGTATGCATTTGTCAAAACTGACAGAATAATATGCCCCAGAAGATAATTTTTTGTGTGTCGTGTAAATTTTAAAAAATCAACTAGGTTGTGGGGGAAAAATGGAAAGGAGATTGTAACAAATGAAACTGCATCACCATGAATCCCAAAACTCAACTGAAATGATAGGAAAAAAGGAAGCTGACCTATGTAACTTAGCAAAACAATATTTTGGTGTGATACCATAAAGCTAAAGACAACAAACACACAAAACACTGCTAGTTGATAAATTTATTTTAAACAGGAGTAAGGTTTAGGAATATTGAAACTATTTGTATCATAGGCTGGAGATAATAAGTGAATGCAATATAAATGAATTATGGACAGGTTTCTTACTATAGGAGAAAGAAGTTATAAATAAAATAAGGGAAAAGGAGAAGTCTACAATGCAGCCCAGGGTGCTGGATTTTAGGTGGAGGTGTCAGTACAGACTAGCACACGTTTCAAAAATATATGTACAACTAGAGAAATAAGTATAGTTTTGTGTGTGGATGAGTGTGAGTTTTTGTATTTAGTATATATACATGTATTTGCTGTATCTATTCACTAAGAAAGGTGAGAAGCAGTGACCCTGCAGTAGCAATGAGCAAATCTAGTTCTTGGTTTCTATATACCATACTGCAATAAAATGACTCTAGACCTGGAGCAGGGAAAGTGCAAGTTGAACTTTGAACCTAGAGCATTTTGCAGTGGCAGAAAGTAAGAAAAGAAAGAAAAGAAAAGGAAAAAAGAAAAAATAAATAAAGCAATGTTCAAAGCACCAACCTGAAAGAGTTGTCAATGGCCAAAGTTGAAACAACTTGAATGACAATATAAGTAACAATAGTATGGATTATAATCCAAAAAGAAAAGAAATATATATTAATCTATACCAGTTTAAATAGACAGTTTTCAGAATAAATGAATGGAAATAAGTAAAAACATTTCTTACAGATGGATTCCAATGTACAAAGAATGAAGCATATAGAAAATCATCACTAGAATATCATTTATGGATGCTAAATTAGTGGGTAAAAATTTAAGCAGAAAGAAGATGTTTGCAGAGTCTGAAAGTATCTCCCTAAAAACATTTAGTAATTACCAAGGGGAAAAAAACAATAAATTTATAATTGGAGAAACCCAGAAAATGCCACTTTAGCCAGGTGGTCATGGTTATTGTTGTGAGAAAAGAATACTGATATCATTCTATCCCCTAATGTGAAATATTGAGACGGGAATATCATCTCTCTAGTATCCTTCTGGACAATGTATAATCTCAAACTAACCATGAGAAAACAAAAGTCAAACACAAATGGAGGAATATTCTACAAAATATCTCACCAGTTGTCCTCAAAAGAGGCAAGGTAATAAGGGACAAATAAAGACAGTTATAGATTGGAGTCTGCTGAAGGGACATGACAACAAAATTTAATGTGGCATCCTAGATTGGATCCTGTAATAGAAAAAGAAATTAATGAAAAAATGGTGAAATTCAAACAATTCTATATGTTAATAGTATTTTACTGAATTTAATTCTTTATGATAAAGTGTTTCATTATGCAAAATGCTAACATAAGGGGGAAGCTGGATGAAGGGTATACAAAAAATACCTACAACCATATTAGTAACATTTCTATTTAAAAATTAAACATTTAAAACATTTAAAATGCTCTTCATGTACATGAATGTGTTTTCTGACATATTAAGTATAATTTAATTTAAATAAAATGTATTAGATTCTACTCTTCAGTGCTTCTCTGCCATTTCTGAGCAACATTTTTTAAGTAGACAAAATAAATTGCAATAGGAAATATGTCCTTTTCCACTGTAGTTACAATCCCTGTCAGGATAATTTATTATTGTTTCAATTTTCTTTCCTCATTGATAATGTTGTCATGAAAAGAGAACATCTGAAGTCCAATGTGTCAAATTCCCCAAATGCTTCATATTTGGAATATTAAAGACTAAGGATTGTGCTTCTTTGATCTTCTCATTAATCAAGATGCTGTCTGTGTGACATTTGCATTCTAGTTGATTACATTCTACAAAACTTGACACTTTTAATGGAGTAGACAATAAAGAGGTACTTGAATATTAATTTTGGCTATTGCTAAATTATGCTACACACCTTCTTCAGGTTTCGAAAGTTTTTTGGACCTGGAAGTATAACAACACAGATACAAATATTAAAATATTTAATGAATATCTTTACTAAGCATTTAGTCTTACTATTTGCATCTCAGAAATGTGTGATACAACCATCTTACATACAGTTCAGACAAATTATTTATTACAAATTATTAAGCTACTTTTTTTATCCTAGGCATTACCTGAAGTACATGCTGTAATGATTGGTGACAAATGGTTTTTAGTCATACAATTTGTATTTAAACAAATTTCAAATTATTTGTTAGAAAGGACGCTTGTAAATACTGACAATGTATTTCATTTTTTAATTAACGCATAATAATTGCACATATTTATGGGGTACACAGTAATGATGCCATGCATATAATATATAGTGATCAGATCAATTAGCACATCCATCCCGTGAAATATATATGATTTCTTTGTGTTGGTAGCATTCAATGTCCTTCTTCTAGTTGTTTGAAATTAAATATCATAGTTAAATATATTCATACAGTGCTGTGTAACACTAGAACTTATTCCTCCCATCCAGCTATAATTTTGTAACCTTTAACAAACTTCTCCCTATCCCTGTCTCTCCTCCCTTCCATCCCTGGTTTCCAGTATCCTCTGTTCTATGTTTATTTATATGAGATCATCTCTGTTTAGTTTCCTCATATGACAGAGAATATGTGGCATTCAACGTTCTGTTCCTGGCTTATTTTACTTAATATAATGTCCTTGAGTTCCGTCCATGTTGCAGCAGGATTTCATTCTTGTTCTGACTGAATAGTATTCTATTGTGTATATACACCACATTTTCTTTATCTTTTCATCTGTCGTTGGACAGCTAGGTTGATGCCATATCTTGGAAATTGTGAACAGTCCTGCAATAAACATAGTGGTGCAGATGTCCCTTCAATATACTGATTTCCTTTTCTTTGGATAAATGCCCAGTAGTGGGATTGCTGGACCATATAGTTCTATTTGTATTTTTTTGAGGAATCTGTATACTATTCTACGAAGTGGCTGTACTGATTTACATTTCCTTCAACAGTTTATACGTTTCCTTTTCACTGTGCCCTCTCCAGCATTTGTTATGTTTCGTCTGTTTTATAATAATCTACTAAGTAGGGTGAGATAATACTTCATTGTGATTGTGATTTGCATTCCCCTGATGATTAGTGATATTGAACAACATATATTTGTTGGCCATTTGTATCTCTTCTTTTTAAGAAATGTCTGTAAATATCATCGTCCATTTTTAAATCAGGATTTTTTTTTTTTTTTGCTATCAAGATGTTTGAGTTCCTTGTGTATTCTAGATATTAATTCCTTGTTGGATGAATAGTTTTCAAATATTTTCTTCATTCTGTAGGTTGTCTTTTCACTCTATAGATTGTTTCCTTTGCTGTGCAGAACCTTTTTAGTTTTATTTAATCCCATTTGTTTATTTTTTGTTTTGTTGCCTGTGCTTTGAGGCATTATTTATAAACTCTTTTCCAGACCAACGTCCTGAAACATTTCCCTTTTGTTTTCTTCTAGTACTTTTATAATTTTGAGTCTTCCATTTTAGATCTATTTTGAGTTGACTTTTGTACAGGGTGAGTGGTGAAGGTCTAGTTACATTCTTCGGCATATGGATGTTCAGTTTTCTCAGCACCGTTTGTTGAGGACACTGCCCTATCCCCAGTGGGTTTTCTTGTCATCTGTCATCTTTGTCAAAAATCAATTGGCTATATATACAGAGTTTTGTTTTTTGTTGTTGTTCTCTATTCTGTCCCATTGGTCCATGTGACTGTTTTTATTCCAAGTACTATGCTGTTTTGGTTACTACAACTTGGTAGTATATTAAGTCTGATAGTGTGATTCCTCCAGCTTTGTCCTTTTAGCTTAGTACTGCATTGGCTATTCGGGGTCTTTGTGGTTCTGTAGAAATTTAGGAATTTTTCTATTTCTGTGAAGAATGTCATTGGTCTTTTGATAGGGATTGCATTGGTTCTGTAGATTGCTTTATGTAGTACTGACAAACAATTTTAAAACAAGCTCAGTTAAAATGTATTATGTTTAGTAAAATTATTTGAAATGCATATGGCTCATGCTATATTACAAATATTCTACATTGAATCCCTGTATAAATCTAAGTGAGGTGTGAGCTATATATAATTTTTGCCATTTTATTTAAATATATGTTTACTGACTATCCAATATGAAGTAAGCACTATTATCAGTGATGTGCTTTGATACACACAATAGACATGATGTCTGACCTTTTAGAGTTTATAATTTTGAAGGGATAAAAAATTACACAAATAATTATAATATGATGAGTTCTAGTCAAACGAAAGAGTCTCTAGGATAAAGCACAAGATTGGTAAATAACTTAGTTCAGTAACTCAGAGAAAACCTTCTAATATGAAGGCATCACACTATTTTTGTACTTGTAAAGATATTATAAAATATATAGCCTGTTTTATACTTCTGTAATAGCTTGTGTGGCCCATTTACAGAAAATGTGTCATTCTCCTGGCACATCAATATGTTCAGCAACCAGGAGTTTTTTAAAATTTGGATTTAATTATATTTTATTGAATCATTAGCTACTAGATTGAACTCCATCTCTAGGCCATCTCCTCTTCCCCAGTGGTTGGGCCGGCCTAAAGCCCAAAGAGGGCCGGCCCAACCCTCTAATTATATGGTTAATCTTTCTAGTGACAGCCTCAGTCTTCTTCCTATAAACTCAGGTGTGATCCAAAAGGCTCATGAATAAGAAAAACACTCTTATCATACAGGAAATGACAAGTGTTTAGACAGCAACCAGACACAAAAACTAGATAGGTTGTTTATGATACAATAGGATCTCACAATCTAGTGATTATTAATTGAAAAAACAAAACCAAAATAAATAGAGCTTCTAGGCTGTTAACATGTAATTAAGAGTTATGGAAAAAATATGGCAAGAAAGAGCACTATGTTGAGTGTGTGTGTGTGTGTGTTGCTGTGTTGGGGTGTGTGTGTGTGTGTGTGTGTGTGTGTGTGTGTGTGATGATTGCCATTTTAAATTAGATGGCTAGGTAGAGAAGGTTTTAATTAAACAGTGTTAATTTCTTACAAAGATTTAGATGATGGTAAGTTTTTCGCAATTATTTTCTTTTTAAAATTTTAATTGTAGAGTATTCCAGAAATACACATATATGTGAAATACACATATGTGTACTTTTATATTATACATACATATATGTATACAAAAGTGTATATTTACCCTTTTTCTTTATGCATTTAATCTGATTGCTTTATGGTCCTCCTAAATTGAGGCACCTAAATTCATTTGTCTTCCTATGCATATTTATACATACTTTTACTTTCTATGTATATGTATATTTCTCTAAGAATATGCAGTGCAATTAACAGTTCTAATAATGTATTAAAATATGAAAAATCTGATAGTTTATACTTAATTAACGAATACTAATTTTAACAGTAATCATGACACGATATTCTAAACAGAAATCAGATACTACACATTAATTTAAAATAAAAATCTACAGTTTTCAAAATGTAACTTTAATTAGAAGATTCTAAAACTATGTATCTTCATAAAATATTTATTATCCTTTTTTACTTAATATATAATTGATTGGATGCATTGTAGAATTAATTATTTTAGTACTTTTAGTGCAAAGTTTAGAAGAGCCTGAAGTAATAAAAAATGTATGTAAAAAAATAATGCATCGTTTACCAACCATAGCATAACAGCATTTTAGGAAGACAAGAAAAATATTGCACATGCCTTGCTTAAATTATATTGAAAGAAACATATTTAGATTAAACCAATTTTTTTGTACAAATCTATTGATAATCCTTCTTACTGCACTTCAGCCTGGGTGACAGAGCAAGACTATCTCAATAAATAAATATATAAATAAATAAAAATAATAAATAAACACAGCTTAATTATAAGTTTGGAAATGATTATTTATACGTCATCTTTTAAGCTCAACTGCAAGTTTATCATAGTGCTCAGACCTGTAGCATCCTCGATTCAATCATAGAATTCTATCTTAGCCTGATATTGTATTTCCCCTCTTATTCCTCCTCCGTGTTCTCCATCTGTTCCTTTTTTCCTTTCCCTCCTCTTTGTCTTTTTTTCATCAATGTCTGGAATTGTCCAAGTGAGTTTAATTGCAGGTCAAGTCTCTCTTATGCCTTCACTAAATACTTCATGATTAATTGTTTCCTCTTTTCTACTGAAGAGAACTCTAGCAAATTGTTAATTAAAGAGGTAAATAATTTCCCTGATTCATCATACTTTGGTGTTTATGAGCTAATGTATCAATAAATAATTATGAAGCATAGTAGCAGTAATAATATAAATAATAATACAAATATGACACCAAAATATCTCAAATTTATGGTACTTTGTAGATAAATAACTTTTACTCTAATTCTCTCATTTCATCTCCTTGACAACCAAATAAGGTTTACAGGGGAAAAGTCTTCATATAATCTTTTACATAATATTAAACCAAGTCACAGAGTAGTTATTTGATTGAATTAAACCCTCCCATCGAGTAAGTATCAACATCTGATCTTGAATAGGTGTCTTACTGGTGGTTTATTACATTTTACTGCATGTAATAGATAACTATTGTTTTGTCTCGCAATTCGCTAACCCTCAATTTTTTTTCCTAGAAATAACCTTTTTCCTTTTTGTGGTAAACTGTTCCTATTGCTACTTCAGCTTTTCAGTTCCCATTAGATAGCACATTTTCACATGGCACCATCCTTAGGGCCATTATTAATTTATCCATAGGTGACATAGTCTATTGTTAACAAAAAAAAAAAACTGAAATATGCAGAGGAAAGGGGGAAAGCTTTATATTCTATTAAAAAAGCAATCTGCAGACTGGGGAGGCACAGCCTTCAGTACAAGTGACAGTGTGCTCTCTGAAGAACAAAGGGTCTAGTTTAAATAAGGAAAGTTCTGGCTTTTGCTCTCAATCGTATCTCTTTATGCAAATGCAGGATTTAAACTTGTTCTTCTATGATTGGTCAAAATAGCAGAGCCTTGAATGAATGATTTCCAAACCCCAAACCAGAAATATCTATCAGATGTTTTTTTCAAGCCATTGTGGGTTGGTTTCCAGCTGCAGTTTATCTTGGTACTGACATCAGGAACTGGGTTGACTTGATGATACAAGGGGAGATCCTTTGACACTTTTACATCTTTTCCAGAACATAGACTACAGAACTGCTGCCTCATACAGCATGGCTTCTAATTCTGCTTTAACTTTGAGCACCTCAGTTAGCCATGGGGAGTTTATTTTGTCCTCCAGATGGGGGCATACTTTAACAGTATCAATTCAAACTAAGCAATTAAGAGTCCTTCCTCTACAGACATTATCCTGGGTTTGGGAAATAAAAATAAAAATACATAAAAATTTTAAAAAGAGTCCTTCTTCATGACTGTTTGCATTGAACCAAGAAAGGGTCACTCCTTCAGAAATGGCTGCTTTGGGAGTTGAGAAGTGGAAATTTTCTTCAGCTACTTTTCTGGCTATGAAGCCAGGTTACACTGACAGAAATTGATCATGACACTCATGGAGAAAAGGGGCAAAAGATAGGCAGAGAAATTAATATCTTGGTTCCTGAGTCCCAGTTGTATCCCTGTCCTTCTTGCTGTTACATAATTCAACCCTTTCGGGAATTACGTGAAATTCCTCAGTATCTTCTCAATGAATTCACCTTTTGGATGCAAACTTTTCCAGTTAAACTATTGACTCTTTAAACAAAAAGTGCATTGAGTAATCTATTCAATAAAGAGTGAATTATTAGTTTTTAGAGAACCATTTTATTTCCTTTATTGTTCTCTTAGTTGTGCCTTTTAAAATTATTTTTAGTGGCTACTCTCGAGTTAACAATGTGCATCCTTTACATATCAGAATCTAATTACATTTAATATTGTACCTTTTTATACTTTCAGTCTGATATTTCACACTTTACAGTATCCTATTCTTTATTTATTGACCAATTTGTTATGAGATTATAGTTATAATTTTTATTTTGGCATACATTATGAATCTAATGGTCTGATGTTGCCACAACCGGTAGTGCTTTTTAATACTAGTGATGGAATTGCATAGAATGATCTGTCAATGATTGTTTTGGGGTTAGGAGACATTTTGATTTGCAGCTCTTTTGATGTCCAGATATTTAAAAGCAAAAGCTGTTGTAATAACAAGAGTGAGGAGACATACCTGCTTGTCAAATAATCAGCCGAGCCATAGTGTCTTGTTCTCTTTTCTATCTGAATTTCAAACCTAAGGTGCTTTCTCAACATTGATGAGAAAAAGCATGGAGTGTGGTGGTTCTATTGCCAAGAAGACAAAAGCTCAGACTGTTCTGTCTATAGTTAATAATGAACTGCATATTGGCTACCCTAAAATCTTGATGACTTTCCAATGTATTTCTTATTTAATGAAAAGACTCATGTTTTTTATTTTGACGTTTGATACAACAAAATGGGGAAAATATTGACCTATAAATTCGAAGAGAAGTTTCTTTGGCAGCCAGGTGAGGATGAAGAGAACAGACCCAATTTTGGATATCTTAAATGTTTAAGATGTTGAGGACAATGTTCCGCATGAATCCATGCTGACACCTATAGTAAAACATCTTGTTTCTCCATAAATTCATATATTATAACTTTTATCATTTTGCATAAGTTCCATTAAGTTCCTCTCTGTCTCGCCTAATGTATCGTAGAGCTCTTAGGGTCAACAGCTATTTCTTTTTACATTGTAAATTGGTATGTCAATATTTAGTGCTTTTTAGAGGAACAGTGATGAATCCAGGAGAGCTTTACTTTTCCTGCAAAATGAAAGTCAACTTACTTGAAGGAAATTCAATGATAAGAAAAGAAAGAAGAAAAAAAAAGAGGCAAAAAATAGGGAGGCCACAGAAAGAAAGGGAGGGAGTAAGAAAACGAGGGAGACAAACAGTATTTTGTGCTTGACTTGCTAAATACTGACTTATTTGATCAGTCATAAAAGTGGGAAATGTGGATACTTCATTCTAACAGTACAGAGTTGATAGGTAACCCAAAGGCTTCTCATGTCCATAATGTGATTTGAGAATCATAGACTTATCAAGAGAGAGGCAGCTTTGTGATGCATAAAACCTTCATAGAGGAATAAAGTTATAGTTAGAAAGAAACTAAATGAAAAATTAATTATGCTTAATTTCTAAGTCAAGACAGTAAATTTCAAATTTTTATTATTGAGTTAATGGTAAGTTAGCTATTGGTGGGCTACCTTACAGAAATATTTGGTTATTAATTATAATAGTTACATACATCTTTAAAATAAAATTGTGTTTTACACTTGCATTAATTTTGGGGAAATTTATTTCTTGTTTATAAGATCTTTCAATAGAATATAAATGAGTAATTGTACAATTATCAGCAGAATGTAAAAACTGCACAAATCATTCAGATTTATTATTAAGATTACATTAGAACAATACTGTACCACATTTTTTACTTGTCAGAAAGATTGGCATGTTATTGAGACAGACAAATTTTCAACTGAGGTCATGTTTTCAAAAATTTACGTTTTATGAACAAAGCCCATCAATATTTTTTCAAGAGTTAAAACTATACAATGGGCAAATAGGTATTAATTGGTATTTTCACAGTATGTAAATATAAAATATTAAAATCTGTAAATGTATTTATACTTTATTTTAATTGTTCTCTCTATTTAATAACATTTTACAGAAGTAATTGGAACCAATGGTCAAGTGTTAAGCTTTAAATAAATTATCAGTTAATATTTTAATAGGAAGAGTATGTGTATTGAAATGAAGCTAAATATAAGTAGATGATTATTGGTTGACCAAAAATTATTTTCATAAAAATGTTTCTCTTATTTATCAATGGACATTAATCCTAACATAATTTTACTCATTTGAGTATAATCCAATAAAAAATTAATTAATATTTGGCCAATTTTCATGAAATGTAAAATCTTTCTGATCCCTGATCCAAAAATCAGTAGCAGCAAATAAAAAAGTCCCAAATAAAAATACATTAATTTATATCACTAACCAATAAATTACTTATTAAAACCATAATAAAATATTATTTTACACTCATTTAAGTGACAATAATTAAATTCTGATTGTTAATATTTGTAAGGTGGTCACAGTTATGTCTGAGGGCTGAGTTAACATGCACAAAGTAAACTTTCCAAGGTTTTCTGATAGCAGCTGCTATGAGGTTGAGGGCAGAACAGAAATGCTAGAGGGGAGAGCTATCTTGGGAACACTTACATTTTGGTCCTGCCTGATTGCAGAGATATCATCATCACCTCCTTAATACCTCTAGAGACAAATTAAAACAACAGAAAATCTTCTCTATAGAAGTAAGGATTTCCTAGAGTATAAACTGCATTAGATCCACCCTAACAAAGCTTAAAATAAGGTTTCAAAAAGATATCTATGGGGAACAGAATTTAAAAATTAGTCCTGAATAACCTGGGGAATACCTGGGTTTTGCAGATCGACACTAAAAAACCATAAAATGGGGTCAAGAACAGACATTTTTCAAAAGAAGACATACAAGCAGCCAACAAACATGACAAAGTGCTCAACATCACTAACCGGAGAAACACAAATTAAAACCTCAATGAAATACCATCTTACAGCAGTCACAATGGCTATTACTAACAAAATCTAAAAACAACAGATGTTTGTGAGGATGTGGAGAAAGGAAACCCCATATACACTGACAGTGAGGATGTAAATTAGTACAACCTCTGTGGAAAACAATATAGAGATTTCCCAAAAAACTAAAAATAAAACTATAATTCAATCCAGCATTCACACTCCTGAGTATCTACCCAAAAGGAAAATAAATCATATTGAAAAGATACCTGCACTTGTATGTTTATTGAAGCACTATTCACAAAAGCAAAGCTATAGAATCAGCCTGTCTGTCAATGTAGGATAGGATAAAGGAAATGTGGTACATACATGTCATGGAATACTATGCAGCCATAAAAATAGAATAAAATCATATCTTTACAGAAATACAGATGGAAGAGAGGTCATAATCCTGAGTGAAATAAACTCAAAAACAGAGAGTCAAATGCTGCATGTTCTCACTTACAATTGGGAGCTATACCTTAGGTCCACATGGACATACACAGTGGAATGATAGACGTTAGAGACTAAAAAAGGTTAGAGTGGGCTGAGGGTTAATAAATTACCTTTTGGCTACAGTGTTCACTATTCTGGTGAGGAGTACATTAAAAGCCCAGTTCTTACCATAATCAAATACAGGTATGTAATAAATCTGCACATTCACCCTGTAAATAGATATAAATTAAAAGAAAAACTTTTATCACATAAGACCCAACAGATGATTAATATCTATTCAAAAAAATTGAAAATGATGCTTACAGAAATTCAGATGAGTAACCAGTAGATAAAAGCCACTTTAAGAAGAATCAAGACACTCAAAGAAAGAGAGTAGGATCCAGAGTTCTACAATATCCAGTGTTCAAGAAAATAAATACATATTTAAAGAAAAGAAAATTGAATCCAGAGTCAATTAAATATAAGCAGTCAATGGAACAGAAACGTGAAATGGCCCCAAAGTAAAACATAGCAGACTATATATAGGTTCATATTCTCACTTTCTTTTTTCCCTCATTTTAAAGTTCACAGTCAATCATAATCATCCCTTGCACATTCCCTTAATTCCTTGCCCCTCCTAGCTTTGTCAAGAAAACTGTAAGCCATTTTTTGTTTTGTTTTGTTTTGATGCAAAGTGTCATTTAGGCCAAATGAGTTTCCATGGAACGGAATGTGGTAAGAGAAAAACAGAGAGCTGTGACTAGAGCATCCATGAGATAGTTTATGCTGTCTGGCAATCCCACTACATTTCTCTACTCAGTAATTGTCTTCCTCTTCCAGACAATTCTGATTCCTTCACTCCTCAGGCCCTCAATACCTCTCTCATCTTCATTCCAATTCAATAATTTTGCTCCATTTTTCACCAAGGAAAGAGAAGCAATTAGAAGAGAATATCCTCACTCTTCCACATTGCAGCTATTCACATAATTTGTCTGCTCTTGAACGCTTTTTACTCTGTGTTTCTTTTAGTAGCTAAGAATATAAAGGTTCTTGCTCTTGGTGAGGTCAAATTTCTCCACTTATGAACCGGATCCTATTCACTCTCCTTTCTTATTTAGACATTATTCTAGAATTCTTCCCTCTAACTCCCACATATTCAATTTTTCTCTACCCACTAAGTAATTTCCATCATTTTCCATTTCTTTTTTTTCTGTCTTGAAAAAAATCATTTTTAGTATTCCACTTCCCCTTCAGCAACTACTCCAGTTCTGTGCTTCCCTTTAGAATAAAATCTTCAAATTCATCAATTTTGTTCGCTGTGTTAGAATTCCCTCCTCCCATTTTCTCATAATCCTACTTTAATCAGGCTTTCACTTACACCAAAACATAATCTTAATGTTGTGCTAAACAAAAACTTCCAAATGATATATCTAAAGTTGAATTCTCCTTCCTCATCCTATATAAACTATACCAGCATTTGAAACAGTGTATCACTTCTTCAACATTGAAGCTCTTGATTGTTAAGACACCACATGATCTGGCTTTTCTCCTTCTTACTATTCTCCCTTTAATGGTGGAGGGCTCCAGGGCTCAATTCCTAAATATCTTTTCCATCTACACACTCTCCCATCTACTCGTTATGCATTCAAGGCCTTGGCTTTAAGTGCAGTTTATATGCTGACAAGCAGACTTATGTTGAACAACCTCCTTGAAAACTACCTTTGTAAGTTTAGTAAGAATTTCTAATATATACCCAAGGCTAAACACCTCTTCTTCCTTCTACAATATGCTCCATCTGCTATCTTCCCTATTGACACAGTATCAACTCTACCTAATAGTTACTAAGGCCACGGAGTTTGGAGTCATCCTTGTCAACTATTTTTCTTACATCCTGCATCCAATTCATCAGCAAATAAATGGCTTAACTTTAAAAATATATCTAGAATTCAACATTTTTTTGTTACCCTCTGATATGGTTTGGTTGTGTCCTCACCTAAATCTCATCTTTAATTCCCAGGTGTTGTGGGAGGCTACCGGGTAGGAGGTAATTAAATCCTGGGGGCAAGTCTTTCCCATGCTGTTCTCGTGATAGTGAATAAGTCTCCCAATATCTGATGGTTTATAAAGAGGGGTTCCCCTTCACAAGTCTCTCTTTGCCTGCTGCCATTCATTTAAGATATAACTTGTTCCTCCTTGTCTTCCACCATGATTGTGAGGCTTCCACAGACACGTGGAACTATAAGTCCAATTAAACCTCTTTCTTTTGTAAATTGTCCAGTCTCTGGTATGTTTTTATCAGCAGCATGAAAATGAACTAATACACCCTACTGCTACAACTCAGGTGTAAGTCTCCTTAATGCTTCACCTGATTATTACAATACTTCTTGAAGTAGTTATTCCTGTTTCTGACCTTGAGGCCTCCTCCATCTATTGTCAGCAGAGCAGAAGCCGGAATGAGGCAGACCATGTACATCAGATCTTCAGCCTCTGCTTAAAACACTCCATTCTCCCCATCTAAAAGCTCACTATTTTTTTTTTTTTTTTCCAGACAGAGTCTCACTCTGTCTCCCAGGCTGGAGTGCAGTGGGCTGATCTCCGCTCACTGCAAGCTCCGCCTCCTGGGTTCACGCCATTCTCCTGTCTCAACCTCCCGAGTAGCTGGGACTACAGGCGCCTGCCACCACGCCCGGCTAATTTTTTGTATTTTTGGTAGACACAGGGTTTCACCGTGTTAACCAGGATGGTCTCGATCTCCTGACCTCGTGATCCGCTCACCTCGGCCTCCCAAAGTGCTGAGATTACAGGCATGAGCCACCGCGCCCGGCCTAAAAGCTCACTATTCTTATAATGAACTTCACAGCACCAGAGTTACCTCTGTGATCTAATCATCTACTATCCTCCCTCATGTACTGTCAGTTCCAGCAATTCTGCCGTACTTGCTGGTCTCTGCATACCCCAGGTGCACATTAATAATGGACTGCTGCCCTGGCTGTTCCCTCAGATCAATGCATGATTGTCTCATTCACTTTCCTCTGGTCTTTGTGTAATACTACCTCCCTAGTGGGTGATTTTATAAATGCTATGTATAAAATTATAATGCCTTTACCCTAGCGTTCATATCATTTGCCTTATTTCTCTACATAGCTATTAACACATTCTAATATACTATATTATTTAGTTACTTTTTTTGTCTGCCTTTACAGAATCTATATGTTTTGTAAGTAGACTGGGTTTTTTGTTGTTGTTGTTGTTCTTTGCTGTCCATCTACATATAGATCAGTTCCTGGTGTGGTGTAGGTGTCCAATATTTATCTTTGTAATAAGTAAATTTCTAATATTTGAGGAGCTCTTCTTACTTGTTTTATTTTTTAAGTTATTTAAAGGGTTTGAGCCCAGTGCTGTGACTCACGCCTGTAATCCCCAACACTTTGGGAGGCCGAGGCGGGCGGATCACGAGGTCAGGAGATCGAGATCATCCTGGTTAACAGGGTGAAACCCCGTGTCTACTAAAAATACAAAAAATTACCGGGTGTTGTGGTGGGCGCCTGTGGCCCCAGCTACTCGGGAGGCTGAGGCAGGAGAATGGCGTGAACCCAGGAGGCGGAGCTTGTAGTGAGCCGAGATCAGGCCACTGCACTCCAGCCTGGGCGACAGAGCGAGACTCCGTCTCAAAAACAAAAAAACAAAACGGGGTTTGTTTTCTTTTTCTTATCTGGAGTAATTTTTTTTATCTGATATAAAACTGGGTTGTGCTTATTACTTTAAAAACTAAGCCATAACTATTAATAAACAGTTATAAGTTATGCTAAATAATACTCTGGGTGGAGCAGAGAAGGAGTGACCCACAGCAACTGGCAGTGGAAATGAATGGAGATTGTTCCAGTCCCAGGGGGAACATCTCATCTCAGTTTTCAGTAGGTCCTTTTTCAGGATGACTAGCTCACCCAAAATGAGTTCTGAATGGTTAAAAATGGTGCCCTATAGTTCACTGGTAATCTAAAATTGATTATCATTTTAACTCTTTTCTCTATGATACCTCATTTTGAAGCTATGTCTAGAGTTAGCAGCTTAAGTTACAGAAATTTAGGGAAAAAAATCTATCATTTTTTCTTCAACCCTGTACTACCCATTTTTCTGAACCTTATAACTGGATCTGCATTTGGCTCTTTTTCTTCTCTGTACTTGAACATGTTTACCTGATCAT
Organism: Homo sapiens; assembly: GCF_000001405.40. Lineage (NCBI taxonomy): Eukaryota > Metazoa > Chordata > Mammalia > Primates > Hominidae > Homo > Homo sapiens. The sequence continues at coordinate 86,017,978 of NC_000007.14, read as the reverse complement.
CTAATCAATGTAATAGTGAGTCTCAATTAGTATAGAAGCAATTTTGCCCCCAACTGGATATTTGGTCATATCTAGAGATATTTTTGGTTGTCATATTTGGTGGGAACTAGTGAATTGAAGTCATAAATGCTGCTCAACCTCATATAATGCATAAGATGGCCTTCCATAACAAAGAATTTCTGGCTTCAAATGTCAGTAGTTACAAGGTTGAAAAAAAAACCCATACAGTAAAGCTCTAAAAACAGAAAACCTTCTAAAATAATTTTTGTCATCATTTTTAAAATATATGCTACCAATTAAAAAAGGATCTCCTGGGCCACAAAGTACCTATTTGTGATAATAGTATTCCCTAATTGAAATACTTTGTAAAGAATAGCATGATTGTAATAAAAAAAGTTCAGTAAAACTATGTTGTTGTTAGAAGAAATCCTTTGGTTCAGAGTAATTCATATGATTTGTTAGGTAAGAACTGTCTTAAAGCAATGAATTACAGTTGCTGAAATATATTCATTTATGACAAGATATCTTCAGTTGACCATTGCCCTATTTTTAAGCTTTTTGGACTTAGGAATCCAAATTCCAAAAAAAAAAAAATTATTAGCCTGATCAGGTCAGATTTGGAACATCCAGGTACCTGACAGAGAATGTCTTCATCCATGAGCTGCAGCACACTTGTTATGGACTTTTGAAGAGACTTTGTCAGCACCTATCACTTGGATATAATATTGAATTCATTCTTTCATGAAACAGATTAAAAATATATTTATCCATTCCCCTTCCAATTGCTTTTCATATCCTTTTCCCTCATAGCAATTTAATTATATTTCTTTTGTAATTTTCATGGAACTTAGGTAAACAGAACAGAATAAATCACAATTACTGCCAATATTCTAGTTATATTATCTGTGGACTAAAATGCTGGCAATTGTTTATGTATTCTGCATGTTCCTGTCCTGTTCTGTCCCCCATCTCCCCACAGGTAAACACAATCCTGAATTAATTATATTCTTATTTACTTGCTTTAATGGCTGTCAGTGGTTTAATCAAAATTTTTATTGTTTAGAAAATACCTTGTTTAGCATTATTTGTTTTGGATTTTCAGAATAATGTAACCTGCCATATGTAATCTTCTGGTACTTATTTCTTTTTGTTTATTTAACTTATTATTTTAGTATTCATATTTTTGTAACTTTCATAATTCAAAGCATAATAATAATACTTTATGTGGCATTTATTATGTACCAGACAGTGACTTTATAGGCCTTCAACAAACTATTTCATTTCTTATGAGGAAGAGCTACTGAGTAATCTTTTATTGTTAATTTGCATATGAGAAAACCAAGGGATTTTCTTGATTTGCTCATTACTATACAGGTAGTCCATGTTTAAACTGGATTTTGAACCTAAATTTAGTTGGACATAAAATATACCCTGCAAAAATATAAGTACCTAATTTTTCTCCTAGTACTGAAAAGTCATTATATAGATTTAATATGCTCATAGAATATACACTCTTTAAACTCCCAAATAGCTCTATCTTCTTGCAACAACAAAATATCATTACATATTAGTAAGCATAAAGTTTTGCCTGACATCCCACGAGGAGGATCCATATACCCCTATAAAAAGCCCTTTGTGCCACTACTAAATAGAGCATCAGATGATATGTATTAAGAATCTTCATATTTAGAAAAATGTTTAATTTTGAGTTCTGTTTTATCTGCCTGTTGTTGTAAATTTAGAGCTGATGTCACTAATTAGAAACTGATATTTTTGGCACTAAGTTAATTTATTCATGCTGTGGTTCAATGGAGTCAATGTATAGCATATAGAATTCTCTCCCTGAGTTTAAAACTCATTAAAATATAGAGAAGTTAAAAATACCAAGACTAAAATGTTCATTTTATTCCTGATAAAAGTTAAATTACAGATGTGGTTCATTTTGTAAGCAAGCAAGCTTGGTAATGATCCTCTCACAGGATTGCAGTCTCTCCCCATAAATTATAGACATCTGATCTGTAACTAATGTGAATATTCATAATTTATGTATATATAAGTCAGTTTGTGAAATTCCAGCATATACTATGCATTACCAAATATACCTTGCAAAATCTCACTCCATTCCACTAATTGTAAAGATGAATGGTGTGTGCCTCTGAATGATATAGCAATGATAAAATTTACTAAATATAATATAAACAGTAATATACGTTGTACAATTTAAAAGTCAATTTAATAACCATATCTTATGTAGCTACTACATATAAGGTGATCTTTTGGAAGCTGTGAAAATGTTAAGGTAATTCAAAGTTAAGTTCTTATACTAGAAAAGTGTAAATTTAAGAGATAGCCATAGCGATGAACTTCTAGAAGCCATACACTTACAATGTATTAAGTAACATGATGGAGTTAAAACTAAAATGTAGCAGCTTCCCAGAGAAATGAGAAGCTAATTTCATCTTTGGAGATTTGATGTAAAGGTAGGCAACGAATGAATTTTGGTTGAGCCAACCACAGGCTCAGAGGGGGAAAGATGGCCCGTTCACATTCCAGGAGTAGGGGAAAAAGAATATATAACACAGTTTCTGGAGTTGATAGATGCAGTGTCTGTGTGGAAAACATTTACTCATCAATGGGCCTGAGAGGAAGGCACTTATCTTCTTGTGTTTCAGACTGCTTCCTCTCATAGCCTCTTCTCTCTAGCCTTGGCAATTTACACATGTTCCTCAAAAATCCCATGCCATTTTGCCTCTTCAAAATTTTGGCATTATTTTTCTCTCTGCTTGTTTGAAAATATTTTGCTTTTTTGTAAAGAAATAGCTTTGGTAACATTGCTTGAAAATGTAAGACCACATGACAATAAAATAAGATCTTGGAAAAATACTATTATAACTAATTATTTATGCTACTTAGAAAAACCATTTAATGCAATATTTCATTTAATCTTCACAACATTCCATGAAGTAAGTATTTATTTTCTGCTTTCTTAAAAATATACAAGTGAGACTTAAAATTAAAGGTAATTCATAATTTTCAGGGCTCAGATTTAAATGCTGGTTCTCACATAATTTACCAGTAGAAAAAAATCAAACTTCCGTTAAAACAAAACTTCAACAGAGCAATAGAATTTGGCCAAAGTATTTATACCTCCCTAATCTCCAGCTGTTATTAACTCACCAAAATTTAAATAGAGGGTTAAGTTATTTCAGTTTTAATATTTGAACTCTTTCTGCATGTCTTGGGGGAAATATGGATGTAAGCCAACTGAATTTTATATTTATTCTGAAAATGACAAAATCGTCTTAAGCCCTGCACTTGAAGTTGGAAAACTGAAATGAATGTTATGCTTTCAAAATAGAATAATTTCATGTGGCCAGACAACATTTTTATGCCCACTGCCAAAAACAGTATACGCTTTATGACAGAAGGATGACTACTATTTTAAACCCAGAAATATCAACACATCTAAATTATTCCTAATTTTTTCTATAAATGCTATTATAATAGTAAACATAAGCACACAGAGACTTTTAAAATGTGTTGTAATTATCACTGGATGTTTTTCTTTAAAGTCAATGTTTCTCTTTTCTAACAACCAATATCCACTGTTCATTATGAATTTTGCATGTGAAAGACAGGAATTGAGTTTTTTTTAATGTTAAGTAAATTTGAGAGGTATATAGCATACTCTGATTCTACATCAAACCTGTAATTTTTAATGGACTTACACAGGTATTTTATATAAAGTACTTCAAATTCTTTTAGGGAATATGTAATTTTTAAATTAATATATAAAAAAACGGTGGCCTGAAAACCAAGTGAACCTAATGTTAATTGAAAGTTAAAGTTGCCCTCTCTGAGATGAGAGAGAGCCTGGAGTGAAAGATGAACACCAAAACTTTTTCCGCAACAAATGGCCCAGTCCCTGCTGAGTGCCAACCATCCAATAAAGGCATCAGCCCTACAGCTCTGGCCATGAAACAGAATCTAGATATATGTTATTAATACACTAACAAGAGATTTATGAAAAGTTGAAGAGATTACAATATAGAAGGTAGAAGACATATCCTAGACAGACTGAGTGGCTAGACAACATTTTTGAGTACATTTTAAGTAGGGGTATCAAGAGGAAAGAGAAAAATTGCCAAGGTAAACAAAGATAAAGTGTTTGTTCATATGGTTCACTAGTAATGTTTAGAGAGTGGAGGTGTTTTGGGAAAAAATTTCCCATAATAGGATTGCAAGAACTTTTTAAATCTAGTCAATAACAGGTTATGATTTTTTAGAAAAGGAACTAAGTTTGCTTCTGTTAAAAGTAAAACATCTGCTAACTTTTAATAGTGTTAAAATTATTTATTCATTTAACAATATTATTTGTATACCTAATGTGTGCCAGTCACTGTTCAAGGTTTGTTTTTCACAGAGCTTAGATGGAAACAAAGGTGTGAGATGAGTCCGGATGTTCTTATATTTGTTCCCAAAACAGCTCCAAGTTCTTAAGGACAAAGTTCATCAGAAGAAACGTCACTGTTGTAACTAAACCAGGGTAAATAATAGAGAGGGTCTTTGTCTAATTCAGTGTGTATAATAAAAGAAGTAGGGCAGGGTCATGTTGAGTTTTGAGTTGAAAGAAATTTGCTATAAATATATAATGTTTTGTTTGTAGAAAAATGTAAGGATTTTGCCAAGAGTTAAATGAGAAAAAGCAAAAACAATCCAATTGTAAGTACATATAAATTCTCATTCCTCATGAGTATAAAATCATCTGGCTAACTACATGCCACATGCCAGAAGTATTGCTAAATTAGTTGTTTCTGACATGATCCTGACATGATTGTTGTCAAAAATCCCTGGCTTTATGGTAATGTGCACTTTATCTGTCCTTCAATGAAAGTACTATGAAGAAAAAAAAATAAGTGGGAGTGTATTTTTCCTAAGACACATGGTATCCAGGTTGTGATAGAGCAAGTTAGTAGAACTGTACTAAGTGTTTACTCACTAGTAGAAATACAATACTGTTATATTACTCAGAAATTGACATGGCTATGCATGGATGGAAATCTTAGAGACTCTTACTAGCAAGAGATTTAAACCCTCATATATAATCCATGATCACACTATGAAAACATATTTTGATTCACAGAAAGTTTAACAGGCTGCAGAAGGGTCTTGATTAACTCATTTAGGTTTAGACAGAGCTGCAGCATTTTGTAGATATTTTTGCAGGCATAGCAACAGGTACATAATTAAGAGACTGTTCCAAATAGCCAATATTTAGAATTAATCAGTGTCCATCAACACATGAATGGATAAAGAAAATGTGGTACATGTGCACAGTGGAATACTATTTGACCATAAGAAAGAATGAAATCTCGTCATTTGTGACAACATGGTTGAGCCCAGAGGACACTATGTTAAGTGTTTCCTGGGAACAGAAAGATAAATAGCACATGTTGTCTCTCATATGTGGAGGCTGTAGAAGTTGATCTCATAGAAGTAGAGAGTAGAACAGTGGTTACCAAGGGCTGGGAAGCATAGGTGAGAGGAAAGAGAGTTGTCGGTTAAAGGATACAAAATTGCAGCTAGAAGAAGGAATCAGTTCTAGTGTTTTTTAGCACTGTAGTATGACTATAGTTAATATTTTATTATGCATTTTCAAATGGCCAGAAGAGAGAATTCTGAATTTTTCTGACATAAAGAAATCATAAATGATTGATGGGTATGTTAATTACCCTGATTTGATCAGTATACATTGTATGTATCAAAACATCACTACGTGCCCCATAAATCTTTATAATTACTATGTGTTAAAAAATAAAAAATTAAGCACTCTAAAAAGTGTTAATTATAATATAAATATTAATATCCAAAATCTGATAGAGAAGTAATTTTCATATATTACTGTGATGAATTACTATTTAACTATTTAAAAATTATATTTTGGGCCAGGTGCCGTGGCTCACCCCTGTAATCCCAGCCCTTTGGGAGACCGAGGCAGATGGTTCACAAGGTCAGGAATTCGAGACCAGCCTGGCCAGCATGGTGAAACCCCATTTCTACTAAAAATACAAAAACTTAGCCAGGCATGGTGGCGTGCACCTGTAGTCCCAGCTACTCAGGAGGCTGAGGCAGGAGAATTGCTTGAACCTGGCAGGAGGAGTTTGCAGTGAGCCGAGATCATGCCACTGGACTCCAGCCTAGGCAACAGAGAGAGACTCCATCTCAAAAAAAAATAATAAAAAAATAATATTTATATATATACACATATATATTCTTGCAGGGAAATAAAATTAAATAGTTACAGTGGGCTAAGAACATGTCTGATTAAAATAATATGTAAATGTAATATATGTAAAAATACACATATACATACAAATCTATGTAATGTTAAATGCCAAAATTTAAAGTGATTACCATTGGAAGTGTAGAGAAGTTATATATTTGGTTGTATAACATTTTAATATTATATATTAATTTACCTACTGTTAACTGGTATTGCTTATATCATAAAATGAATTACATTAGTTAGAATAAGCACAATAAAACAAACTGAAACCAGAAATGACAAGTCTTTTCTCTTTGTGTATAGTATGTGTCTTAGACAGAATATGCTTTGTATTTAACATTTTAAATGTTAAACAAATTCAGCCCACTGATAATAGACTGACCTTGAAAAGAGCTTGCATATAGTATTATATGATGATATAACTGAAATTAAAATTTAGAGCTGGTGCCTTTCTTTTTGAAAGATATAATAAAGCTATACAATTATTGTGAGCATTGGCATAATCTCTATATGAGTGGTTCACTAAATATGGTGCCTAAGTAAGCAGCATCATCTTCCTGGGAACTTTTTGGACAACCAGATTCCCCAAACCAACCTACATGTATTTAATCAGCAATTGTGAATTTGGATCCCAGCATTCTGTGTTTCAAGAATCCTGTAGGATATTCTAAAATAGGTTAAAGCTTGAGAACCACTGCATTAACACAAATATAGTTTAAGCAACTTCACCTGTCTAAATTCACAGAGGGATATGCTTATTATAGTAAATAACATTTTTCAGACGTTATCTTGGGTGTGATACTCTGTTTTTTCTTCTTTCTCAAAACCATTTTCAATTAAATAAGGTAAATTAATATTTTAACTACTAAATAACTTTTATCAGAAACAATTTTAATGTTTCATTTTTAAGGAATCTCTTCTTTGTTGGTAGCAGATAGATAAGAACATTCAAACAATAAGATATATTGATATGCAGAACATGCAATTCCAAGAGTCCCAATGAAACATCAAATTACATGTAGATTTGCACAAAGAACATTTCAGGATAAATAATACAAATACAATTTATAAAACAAAAATTCTAGAGCTCTGATAAGGCCATCTTGTACAGAAGTGTCAATGATTTGTGAATTAAAAAAAGGAGCAAGGCCTAGGGTTCTGTTAAGGCCATTTCAGTTAAGCTCACCTGAAATCCTTTTGGAAAATTGACAGGAACAAGTAATGAATAAATGAATAAAATTTAAATACTGAGTTAAGCTAATCAGGTCAACAGAAAAGTCAGAAACTAAAGCCGACTCCACCATTTAGCAAAATGATGCCTAAAAGGCAGCAAGTGGTTTGAGTCTATCTCATTGAGAAGACTGCAAGCCTCAATATTGTAAAGTATCCTCATTTGTTATCACCAACGGGTAAAATTACAATAAGATAATAAAATTCCTATGACCTATTGATATCATTAGGCTTTAGAGTGTCAACCCTTGAAGGAATTTTCCCCTGCATTTACATTACTAAGCAGAAAACAATGTAAATTTATAATCTCTTGACAAAAACTCCAATATACTGCAACTATCTCACAACTATCCACAGCTATGTTATTAAAGCAAACTTTGTAGTTTTAGGTGTCATTCTGGTTATATTCTTAGTTTCTCCAAAAAACAAAAATACTGAATCCAGTTTGTGGCTCAGTTGGCTAAGCATTCTGTTAATGAAGCCATAGTTATAACTTTGATCTTCATTTTAGGGAGTTAGTATTTCTTTTCCAGACATTTCCTTCCCTAGTGAAACTGACTCACATAGTGTATACTATTATTTCTTACAAAAAAAGTAAGAAAATGAGATGGATCAAGGAATCATTATTATAAAAGCAACTCAAAGTATATTCTTTACTCACAGAGAGCCACGAATTATAATGGAGCAGAGCCCATCTTCAGTACAAGGTTTAGATATTACCGGGCAGTCTGCTCATCAGTTCCAGAGGACACTCCTTTCTTTTCACCCATCACCAACTTGTCTTCCAAGTACTTCCTCTGGAAAATGCCCATCATGCACTTCCCTTCTCAAAACTCTCATTCTCTCTGCAGTGTTCGCATAGTATATGTTTGAAAATCATTGGCATCAAACATTAATTTTGACATCTGATATTCACTGTAACTGCTTTTAACACTATTATCGGAAACTAAGGAGCTAATGGCCTTAACATACCTCCATTCCCCAAAAATGCCTCCTGAGTGGAGAAACAAAAAAATTCAAAGGTTTATACACTGTTTCGAGTATCATTATTCAGCCATTATCACACTTTTATTTTATACTTCTGCATTCATTTGTCAGGATGAAGAAAAGGAAGTTGCTGCTAAACAAAAAGATTTTAGGAAAGAAGCCATCACCTTTTACTGGAGAATTTAAGAGTAGACAGCTAGCAGTTGATCACAGTTTTGTTTTTTGTTTCTTTAAATAAAGAACATCTATTGGTACTCCCTTTAATAGCCCCAGAACCAATCCATTAGCAAATCCTGTTGATTCTAAGTGCAGTCACTTCACATAGTCTCTGTCAGAGCCATCCTGCTGAGAATAGCTTCACTTTGATTTTGTCAGTATCTTCAACAATCCATTGTCCTTTCAATCAACTCTGTACAGAGCAGTAATAATGATTCTTCTAAAATGTTGTCATGCTTATAATTCTATAGTTGAATCGTCTCTCTCTCTCAGGATAACGGCCCAATTGTAATTCATATTGCCTTAAAGACCTCTGTGATCTTTTCCACCAGCGCTACAGCTACTTGAATTTACCTGTACCTCACTCTCCCTCATTCACTCTGCTTCTTATCAGGGATGCATTACAATTTTATGAGCATAAGATTATTTGTCTTCATGAACCCCTTTTTACAGAAAAAAATTAAAATTATATTTTTGTGATTTTTATTGGAAAAAGATGAGTATAACCCAGGATGGATGTTTTACTATATATTCTTTTTTATCACACTCATTTTTTCTTCTAATTTTAAAAGAAATTAAAATGTAAAAGTTTGTGAACTCCTAGAATTATTGTGGGCCAGGTGGTTTCTGCTGCCTCCTGAGGAATATACTTTATATTTGATGAGGAACATTTAGAATGTGCTTCCTTCAAATAGCCACAAGCTTTGTTTCTACAGGTCTCCTCTTCCAAAGGTCTTCCTTGACCCAACTATAAAAAATGTTCTGGCCTCCAGCATTTCTTATTCCCTTTATTTGTCTTTTTTTTTCTGCATTGTGCTTTCTGACTTAACATTTTTCAAGGATTTGACATATTTTATTTGCTTGTTTATTTTGTTATTTTCTTCCCACAAGAAAAGGAGTGCTATGTGAGAAAAGGAATGTTGTATGTTTTGTTCATTGCTTTTGTAAATCTCCTAGAAGTGTACCTTGAAGCAAGCCTAGCATATCATAGGAGCTTAATAATAATAATAAGTGACCTACTAATATTTTATATAAAAAAGAGTAGTGTCTTACAAAGCTAAACAAGTGCATAGTATACTACCTAGCAATTCCACTCGGGAATTTTGGTAAATTTTTTTCTTAAATTTATTCATGCTAGAGTATAGAAATGCAATTGATTTTTTGTATTTAAATTTATCCTGTAAATTTGCTGAACTAATTTATAAACTTGAATATATCTAAGAATTTCTATATTTGTGGTCAGGTGTGGTGGCTCATGCCTGTAATCTCAGCACATTGGGAGACTAAGGTGGGCAGATTTCTTGAGCCCAGGAGTTTGAGATCAGTCTGGGCAATGTGACAAAATCCACCTGTTTTAAAAATACAAAATATTAGCTGGGCCTGGTGGTGCAACAAAATTATAGACAATTCAATAAAAATCTGTCAGTGATATTTCACAAAGCTGCACAACAAAGAAATAAACAGCTAGAATATCTTAATGTTTAAATTTGAACAATAACACTGAGAATAAACTTCTAGTTGAAACTTTGTAAGACAGATTATAATAAATATATTAATTAAATTTAAAATGCTTCTACAAGTTTCTTGGTTTTAATCAAGTAAAAACTCATGGCATTTTCTCAAGTTTCAAAACTGGAGCTTGGTATTTAGAATAAACTGTGATAAATGTGAATTATATCTGTAAAAGAAACTGTACTTACATGTGTGAGAGCTAGTAAAACAAAATTAAATAGAAAACATGATAATCCTACACCCATAGGAGATTTATCCTAATTCACCTCTACATGGTTCAGGGAAACAAACAAACAAACAAACCCCAGCAAGAGTATATTTCTTATTTTAGTTTCTCCTGGATTGTGAGCCTGTAATATGGTTTGGCTCTGTGTCCTCACCCAAATCTCATCTCAAATTGTAATTCCAATGTTGAAGGAGGGACCTAGTGGGAGGTGATTGGATCATGAGGGTGGATTTCTTCCTTGCTGTTCTTGTGATAGTGAGTGAGTTCTCACAAGATCTGATGGCTTTAAAGTGTGTAGCACTTTCTCCTTCTTTCTTTCTCTCTCTCTCTCTCTCTCTCTCTTGCTGCGCCATGGTAAGATATGCTTGTTTCCTCTTCACTTTCCGCCATGATTTAAAGTTTCCTGAGGCCTCCCAGTCATGCTTCCTGTTAAGCCTCTGTAACTGTGAGTCAAGTAAACTTCTTTTCTTCATAAATTACCTAGTCTCTGGTAGTTCTTTGTAGCAGTGTGAGACCAGACTAATATGGCCTGATCTGGGTAATATATTTTGTTTTTAGTAACATTCATCCACAACTCAGTCCCATTTCTCTGATTTCTTCCTGAATTGGTCTGGTGAATAATTTTCAGGAGAAATATTTCAAAGATCTCTTGAATTATTGTTTACAATTTCACAAAATGACTTGCTTATGTACATGGAGATGGTGATTAATGTGGAGTAGGTTTCAATAAATGTTTTGTGATGCATCCCTTTATTTGAATTTGATGGTTTCTCATGATTCACTTGAGATCACAGGTTTGTGGAAAATAATACCATAAACATGATATGCCCTTCTAAGTGCATCATATCAGAAACTACATAATGCTGCTATGTCTTATTACTGGTGATGGCTTAAACACTGGGTTCAGATGGTGTTTGCCAGATTTTTTTACTGTAATTTTATTTTTTTCCTTTTATAATTAGTTAATACTTTGGGAGAAGAACCCTAACGCTAGATAAATCTATTTATCACTAATTTTTTGGCTCAGTAATTTTAAAATGCTAATCTATCATGCAGAAATTATTATGTTGTTTGCTTAGTGGTGATTTCTATTTTTTTCATCCTTCTATATTTATTAAGTAAAATTTTTAAGTAAGGAAGAATAGTATATTCTCCTCCATGTAATTAATTAAAACATTTAGAATATTTTTAATTGACACATAATATGTGTACATATTTATAGGTTATGATGTGATGTTTCTTTCTGTATACAATGTGTAATGACCAAATCAGGGTAATCAGCATACCAATTACCTCAAACAATAATAATTGATTTAGGTTGGGGACATTACAAATCCTCCAGATATTTGAAAATATAGAAGAAATTGCTTTAACTATAGTCACTCTACAGTATTATAGAATACTAGAACTTATTCCTGTTATCTAGCTGTAATGTTTTATCCATTAACCAATCCATCCCTATCCCCCACATTTCTCAGCCTCTAGTTACCACTATTCTACTTTCTATTTTTATGAGATCAACTTAGCTTCCACATATGAGTGCAATCATGCGGTATTTGTCTTCCTATGCCTGGTTTATTTCACTTAACAAAACAAAATGACATATATATATATATATGTATCTTATACATATATACATATTTTCTTTACCCATTTCCATTTATCTATTGGTGGATGCTTAGATTGGTTCCACATCTTGGTCATTGTGAATAGTGCTGCAATAAACATAGGAGTGTGCACCAGATATCTTTCAATATATTGAATTCCTTTTGTTTGGATATATAACCAACAGTGGGGGTGCTGGATCATATGGTAGTTCTTTTGTTTGTTTGTTTGTTTATGTAATTTACATTTCCATCAAGAGTGTACAGGTATATCACAGTTTATTGCACTTCACTTTTTGTGCTTTGCAGATGTTACCTTTTTTAAAATTGAAAATGTGTGGCAGCCCTGTGTCATGCAAGTCTATTGGTACCACTTTTTGACAGAATGTTATCATTTTTTGTCCCTGTGTCACATTTTGGTAATTATAAAAATACTTCAAACTTTTCATTATAATTATATCTGTTATAATAATCTGTAATCAGTGATCTTTGATGTTACTATTGTAATTGTTTTGGGGAGCCACAAACTGCATCCATATAAAACAGCACACTCATTCAATAAATGTGTGTGTTCCAAATCCTCCACTGACCAGCTATTGCCCCATCTCACTCCTCCTCCTCAGGTGTCTCTGAGACACAACAATATCGAAATTAAGTCAATAAGTAACCCAACAATGGCCTCCAAGTGTTCAAGTGAAAGGAAGAGTCACATGACTCTCACTTTAAGTCAAAAGCTAGAAATGAATACGCTTAGCGAGAAAGGCATGTTGAAAGCCATGGTAGGCTGAGTGCTGGGCCTGTTATGCCAAACAGGTAAGTTAGGAATGCAAAGGAAAAGTTTTTGAAGGAAATTAAAAATGCTACTCCAGTAAACACACAAATGATGAGAAAGTGAAACAACCTTATTTTGACATGGAGAAAGTTTTAGTGGTCCGGATAAATCAAACCAGCCATAACATTCCCTTAAGTCAAAGCCTAATCCAGAGCAACGCCCTAACTCTCTTCAGTTCTATGTAGGTAGACAGAGATGAGGAAGCAGCAGAAGAAGAGTTGAAAGCTAGCAGAGGTTGCTTTAAGAGGTTTCAAAAAAGAAGCTGTCTCCATAACATAGACGTGCAAGACAAAGCAGCAAGTGCTGATGTAGAAGCTGTAGCAAGTTATGTGGAAGCTCTATGTAATATAACTGATAAATGTGGCTACATTAAATAACAGATTTTCATGGTAGACAAAGCAGCTTTCTTTTGGAAGAAAATGCCATCTAAGACTTTCATATCTCAAGGGGAGTAGTCATTGCCTGGCTTCAAAGCATCAAAGGACAGGTTGACTCTCCTGTTAGAGGCTAATTCACCTAGTAAATTTAAATTGAAGTCAACGTTCATTTACCATTATGAAAAGTCTAGGGCCCTTAAGAATTATGCTATATCTACTCTGCTTGTGCACTGCACATGAAACAACAAAGCCTGGATGATAGCACATCTGTTTATAGAATGGTTTACTGAATATTTTAAGCCCACTGGTGATAATTATTGTGCAGGTAAAAAAAAAAGATTTTTTTCAAAATATTACTGTTCATTGATAATGCGCCTGGTCACTCAAGAGTTCCAGTGGAGATGTACAAAAACATTAATGTTGTTTTCATGTTTGCTAACATAACATCCACTTTATAGCTTATGGCTCAATAAATAGTTTTAACTTTCATGTCCTATTATTTTAGAAATACATTTCATAGGAGGAGCTTCAAGATGGCTGACTAGAGACATCTAGGGTTCACCTCCCCAACAAAGAAAAATCAAGATAATGAGTAGATAATCACACTTAGAATAGATCACACTTAAGAGAGAATGCTGGGCTTCAACAGAGAAGTGACAGTAAACACCAAGAGCAAAGAAAGAGAGAAGCTGGGTAGCCTACTTGACTGGGACTGGCTAAGAGCCTATAGAGGCTCCCCAGTGTGGGAAAAGGGTAAGTGAGTGATCCCTACTGGTCCACATTCTCACCACAGATGCAATCCTAGCCACAGCCAGAGCCCTTTAACTCACGCAGGTGCTGAGACTAACATAGGGAGGTGCCTAGAAACCATGCAATGACATTGCTCCAGAGAGGGAATTCATGCTGGATTCCACACACCCTGGAGTCCTAAACAGTTACAGCAAGGTGCCCTTTTAAAAGCCAAGCCCCCACTAGACTGCATCCTGCCCTGGATCCAACAGCTCCTGCATGTCCATATCCCTGAAAACCCATTGATACCCCCCACCCAAAGCTGGGCACTGCTGCTGGCTGCTGTCATTAGGTCCAAAGCATGAACGGCTGGCAGTGACCTTATTGCCCCCAGTAGCAGGTTTGCCATGCATTTACATGCATCCTGAGAACAAGGTAACTGGCTTGCAGCCACTACTTGGAACCAAAGCATGCACTCCCTAGTTACTTGTTTATAGCTGCTGCTACTGAAAGCAACTGTACCCTCCCCAGCAACATGGCCACAGTATAGCTGCTGACTCTTCCAGCCAAGCATTCTCCTGAGGGCCTGGTAATAACTCCACCCCTGCCTACCACAGCTAGCAATCACATGAACCACCAAGGGGCCTGATGACAGGCCCAACTAGCCTGGTTTCACCCCCCTCAGTGCCAGAGCACACTATCTAGGGGGCTGGGGATGACCCTGCCCCATCCACTACAGTTGGCACCTGAGCACTCCACCTAGAGGAATGAAGATGGGCCCACCCAACATGCTACTACTACAGCTGGAACCCACCCACATGTGCCACATATGACCCCAGGGACTGGCTGACCCAGCACATTGCAGATAATGCCAACACTAGTGCAGACTGCTTGGGAGCCAGAGGTTGCCCTGCCACTACCACTGTCATTGCTCATGCCACATTCACTGACCTGGGACCCAAGGATCTACTCACCCACTTGGCCAGCCACTGACACTGCCAGCACCTGAGCAAGCTTACTGAAGGCCAACAAATCAGCCTTCCTGCACCCACTCACATCAGTGCCAGAGTCTTCTGCCCTGGGTCCCAGGGACAGGCAAGCTCATTACACCAGTTCCACCACTGAGGCCGGAGGATTATTAGCCTATCTAACATCTCTATTACTAGCAAAACCTCACCACAGCCCTCACTGACAACTGCACTCTGCTGAGAAAATCACACACTACTGATGCTGTTTATTGCCAAGGAAATCATATAGATACTACAGTACTGTACATACCCAGAATTTAAGCCAAACCACCCTATTTAACCAACAACATAGGTACATCTTCAGAAAAATATTCTTGCATACAAAAACAAGTTTAAAAAAGTTGTAAGATGCAACCATTATGAGATGCACAGAAATAAATGTAAGGACACAAGAAACACAGGGACAAGAGAAAGCAAGGACATATGACACCTGCAAAGGAGCACAAAAATTCTCCAGCAACAGATTCCAATGATAAAGAAATTTATGAAATCCCAGAAAAAGAATTCACAATAATGATTTTAAAGAAACTCACTGAGATACAAGAGAAATAACTCAGATAAACAATACATAGAAATCAGAAAAACAATTCAGGGTATGAATGAACAATTTACCAAAGAGATGGATATCACCAAAGAAGACCAAACAGAAATTCTGGAATTGAAGAATTTATTGAATGAAATACAAAATACATTTGAAGGCTTCAATAATACACTAGATCAAGCAGAGAAAAGAATCTCAGAACTTGAAGCCAGGTTAAAAAAATTAAGTCACATAAAAATAAAAAAAAATAAAATAAAAAATATGAACAAAGCCTGCATGACATATGGAGCACCACAAAGTGACCAAATATTCAAAGTTTTGGTGTCCCAGAAAGTGAACAGAAACTAAAAGGGTTAGAAAATGTATTTAACAAAATAATAGCTAAAAACTTCCCAAATCTAGCAAGATATTTAGACATACACATACAGGAAGCTCAGAGAACCCTAAAGAGATTCAGTTCAAAAGGGTCTTCTCCATAGTATGCTAAAAGTCTAACTGGTAAAAGCCAAAGGCAAAGAGAGCATTTTAAAAACAAAAAAGAAAAAAATATCGAGTCATTTATATGAAAACTCCCATCATATATCTAGTCATTTATATGAAAACTCTCATCATATTCTGCTGAGACTAGCAGTGGATGTCTCAGGAGAAATCTTACAGGCCAGGAGGGAATAGGACGCTATATTCAAACTTCTGAAAGAAAAATAAAAAAGGACACTGTCAGCCAAGGATACTATACCCAGAAAAGTTATCCTTCATAAGTTAAAAGAGAATAAAGTCTTTCCCAGACAAACAAAAGCTGAGGAAATTTATCACCCCTAGACTTGTAAGAATTGCTTATGGGAGACAAACAAGAAAGAAAAGACTGTGGAAGACTTTGATGCTTGTTGGCCTATATTAGCAACAAAGTATTTTTTGTATGTCTACTTTTGAGAAATATCTACCAAGATTATTTGATCATATTAAATTAGGTTATTTGTTTTATTGCTGTTGAGCTGAGTTCCTTATGCATTCTGAATATTAATCCATCATCAAATTAATGTTTTGCAAATATTTCTTCCCATTCTGCAGGTTGTCATTCATGATTGTTTATTTTGCTGAAGTAGAAGATTTTTAGTTTGATATAATCTCATTTGTCCATTTTTGCTTTTTCTGCCTGTGTTTTTGAGGTTTTATTCATAAAAGCTTTGCCCAGATCAAACTCCTGAAGCTTTTTTCTTATGTTTCACACTAGTAGTTTTATAATTTCAGTTCTTACATTTAGTTCTTGGATACATTTGAGTTTTTTTTTTTTTCACATGGTGAGAAATAAGCATATAGTTTCTTTCTTTTGTTGTGGTTTTCTCACCACAAGTTATTGAAGAGGCTGCCCTTTCCCCAATGTAAGTCCTTGGTGCCCTTGTTGAAAATCAGTTTCCTGTAAATACTTGAATTTATTTCTGGGTTCTCTACTCTGTTTCCTTGGTTTATGTGTCAGTTTTTATTGCCAGTACCATGGTGTTTTGACAACTATAGCTTTGTAGTACCTTTTGAGATCAGGCAATATTATGCGTCTAGCTTAATCCTTTTGTTCAGGATTGCTTTGGCTATTTGAGACCTTATGTGGTTCTATACAAATTTTAGAATTGCTTTTGCTATTGCTGTGAAGAATGTAATTGTTGGCCGGATGCAGTGGCTCATACCCATAATGCCTGTGCTTTGGGAAGCTGAGGTAGGCAGATCACTGAAGGCCAGGAGTTTGAGACCAGCCTGACCAACATGGTGAAACCCCGTCTCTACCAAAAATACAAAAATTAGTCATGCATGGTGGCAGACACCTGTAATCCCAGCTACTTGGGAGGCTGAGGCAGGAGAATTGCTTGAACCCAGGAGACGGAAGTTGCAGTGAGCCAAGATGGCACCTCTGCACTCCAGCCTGGGCAACAGAGTGAGACTCTGTCTCAAAAAAAAAGAATATAATTGTTATTTTGATAGAGATTCCATTGAATCCATAGATCACTTTGGATACTATATTCATTTTAACAATATTGATTCTTATAATCCATGAACATGGCATGTGTTTCCATTTTTTGTGTGTCCTCTTCAATTTCCTCACTTATTTTTATCATTCCAAATTCAATAGTATTCACTTTATCTTAGGGCTATATAATACTGTAGTTATTTATTTTGTTGCTGAACTTGCTACCTTTTTGGTAATTGCTAAGTCTTTTACATTTGCTCTTACATCTCTTTAACATGTCTTCTTGTACTTCTCTTTTTTGTCATTGTTGTCCTCCTCCTTCTTCTTTATACTTTTATACTTCCTGGCACTACACTATACTATGGATTCATTTTGTATTATCTCTATCTCAGTCTTAGGCTCAAACACTTTTTCAGGGATTCTTGATTGCTTTTATAGCTGAACAGCATTTATAAATCGATATCTAGACGTTCTTTGTTACTACATGTCATTTAAGCATTCATTTTTACATTTGAAGAGAAACTAAAGTAAAAGAACATTATTTTTTAAACTTCTTGTAATTTTAAATAATGGACTAAAATTACATACTTTATAATATCATTTTCATGAAATGAAAATGTGTGAACTGAGGGGAACCAAAGCCTTAACAGGAGAAAATCTCTAATTCTACAAGAGAACTACTGCCTTTAGTTAGAGGACCAAGTGGAATCCTCAGTGATCATTCTCCTCCCACACTTACCCCCTCAGTGCAGGAACACCAAATTGAACAACTCTTCATACAAGAAAACACCTTTGTAAGAACCAAAAATCAGATGAGTGATCAAAGTACCTGGCTTTAACATTATATCAAGGAAACAGGGAAAAAAAAAGAAAAACAACAACAACAACAACAAAAAACAGTGTCCAATTGCTGCAAACAACCCTTCCCCACTGGATCTTAAGATCCCTGTCTAGACTTTGGCTTCTGGATGACATTTCTTGATCTTCCCTGGACCAGTGGGGAGCCTACTATCCTGAAGAAAGAGACCTAGTCCTGGCAGCATTTGCTAAAAGCTAAGTGAAGAGCCCTTTGGCCTTGAATAAACATCAGCAGTTTCCAGATAGCTCTCACTGTGGGCTTGGGGCAGGAGGAGACTCATTCTGCATCAGGAAAGGAGAAAGAAGAGAGAGAAGAAATTTGTCTTGTTCTTTGGGTGCCAATGCAGCTTCAGTAGAATACAGAACTAAGTAGATTCCTCTGGTTCCCAATTACAGTCCCTAGCTCTCAGGTGGCATTTTTAGACCTTCCCTGAGCCAAGGGGGAGCTCACCGCTATTAAGGGAAGGACACAATTCTGGCTGGATTCAACTGCTGAGTTAACAGTGCTTGATTCGTGAGTGAATATTGGAAGTGGGCCTTGAGTGAAACCCAGTGCTGTGCTGGCTTCTGGTCTAACTCAGAATAGTACCAGTGCTAGTGGTCACTGGGATGCTTCTGTCACCCTTCTGTCAACTCTAAGAAGCTCAGCATAAAAAGAGAGTCTCTGTTTTCTTGTGAGGAAATTAGGGGACAAGAACAAGAGTCTCTAAGTGCTAATCCAGGGAATTCTCCCAGACCTTACTCAAGACCAACAAGGCAGTACCTCTACAAGTCTGTACAAGTCAAAATGTTACTGGTCTTGGGGTGCCCCTTGTGGGTGATACGGCTGCAGTGACCAGACTTACATCAAAACACTCAATTCCCTTTGAATACCTGGAAAGACTTCTCAAGAAGGACAGGTACAAACAAGCCCAGACTGTGAAGACTACAATAAATACCTAACTCTTCAATGCCCAGACATTGATGGACACCCACAAGCTTCAAGAATATCCAGAAAGACACAGTCTCACCAAACTAAATAAGGCACCGCTGACCAATCACAGAGTGACAGAGATATGTGAACTTTCAGACAGATAATTCAAAATAGCTGTTTTGAGGAAGCTCAATAAAATTCCTGATAACACAGTGAAGGAATTAAGAATCTTATCAGATGAATTTAACAAAGAGATCAAAATAATTGTTAAAAATCAAGCAGAAATTCTGAAGATGAAAAAATTAACTGACATACTGAAGAATGCATCAGAATGTCTCAAGATCAAGAAGATAGAAGAAAGAATTATTTAGCTTGAGGAAAGGCTATTTGAAAATACACAGTCAGAGGAGACAAAAGAAAAAAGAACAAAGAAGAATGAAGCATGTCTACATAATTTAGGAAATAGCCTTAAAGAGGAGGTAGATATAGAGATAGAGGTAGAAATTTTACCCATTTTATTCAAATGGATAAAAACAGAAAACTTTCACAACCTAGAGAAATATATCACCATTCAAGTACAAGAAGGTTGTAGAACATGAAGCAGATTTAACCCAAGTAAGACTACCTCCAGGTATTTAATAATCAAACTCCCAAAACACAAGGATAAAGAAAGGATCCTAAAGCAGCAAGAGCAAATAAACAAGTAACATACAAAATATCTCCAATATGTCTGACAGCAGACTTCTCAGTGGAAACCTTACAGGCTAGGAAAGAGTGGCATGGCATATTTAAAATGTTAAAGGAAAAAATCTTTTACCCTAGATTAGTATATCCAGTGAAAATATCCAACACACATGAAGAAGAAATACTTTTCCAGACAAACAAAAGCTAAAGGATTTTATCAACACCAGATCTATCCTATGAGAAATGCTAATGGGAGTTTTTCTATCTGAAATAAAAGGACAATAATGAGTAATAATGAATCATCTGAAGGTACAATACTCACTGGAAATAGTAAGTGCACAGACAAACATACACTATGATAACACTGCAATTATGGTGTGCAAACTACTCATATCTTGAGTAGAAAGACTAAAAGATGAAGCTATAAAAATAATAACTACAATAATCTTCAAGACAAAGACAGTATGAAAATATTTAAACAGAAAAAACAAAAAGTTAAAATGTGAGGGAATGAAGTTAAAGTGAAGAGTTTTTATTACTTATCTCTTTGCTTGTGTTTGTTTTTGCAATTAGTATTAAGTTGTCATCAGTTTAAAATAATGGTTAATATAATATATATTTGCAAACCTGATGGTAACCTCAAATCAAAAAAAAATCTACAATGCATACACAAAAAATAAAAAGCCAGAAATTAAAATGTACCATCAATGAAAACTACCTTCACAAAAAGGAAGATAGGAAGGAAAGAGAGAAGGAAGAGAAGGCCAAAACAACCAGAAAACAAATAACAAAATATCAGGAGTAGGTCCTTCCTCATCAGTAACAACATGGAATGTAAATGGAAGAAACTTTTCAATAAAAAAAAAAAAACTCGCTGAATAGATTTTTAAAAAAGACTTAATGTTGTATTGCCTGCAGGAAACAGATTTTACCCATAAAGGCACACAGACTGAAAATAAAGGGATGGAAAAAAGATATTTCATGCAATTATAAACAATAAAAAAGTAGAAATAGCTATACTTATGTCAGACAAAATAGATTTCAAGGCAAAACCTATAAAAACAGACAAATACAGTCATAATATAATGATAAAATAATCAATTCAGCAAGAGAATATGATAATTTTAAATATATATGTACCCAATACCAGAGCACCCAGACTTACAAAGCAAAATTGTTAGAGTGAAAGAGAGAGACCCCAATACAATAATAGTAGGAGACCTCAGCATCCTACTTGCAGCATTGGACAGATCATCCAAACAGAAAATCAACGAGAAACCACAAACTTAATCTGCACTGTAGAACAAAGGGCCCTAATACTTAAAGAACATTTCATCCAATGGTTACAGAATAAACATTCTTCTCCTCAGTTCATGAATCATTCTCAAGGATATTCCATATGTTAAACCACAAAACAAGTTTAAAAAAATCAAAAAAATGAAATTATACTAAGTATCTTCTCTGAACACAAAGGATAAAACTAGAAATCAACAATAAGAGAAACTTTGGAAATTATACACAAGGATATTAAATAATATACTTCCAAATGACCAGTTTGCCAATAAAGAAATTAAAAAGAAACTTGAAAAATTTATTGAAACAAATAAAAGTGGAAGCACAACATATGAAAAACTATTGGATACAGAAAAAGCAAAACAAAGAGGAAAGTTTATAGCAATAAGCACCTATATCAAAAAAATAGAGAAACTTCAAATAAACAACAGAATGATGCATTTTAAATAACTAGAAAAAATATATATATATAAATGAAAATTTGGCTTTTTGAAAAATAAACAAAATCAACTATCTTTAGCCAGACTAACTAAGAAAGAAAGACAGAAGATCCAAATCAATACAATCAGAGATTGAAAAGGAGACATTGACACTGAAACCACAGAAATTCAAAGGACCATTAGAAAATACTATGAGCAAATATGTGCCAATAAATTAGAAAATCTGGAAGAAATAGATACATTCCTAGATATACAGAAACAATTTATGAAGATTGAGCTATGAAGAGCTTCAAAACCTGAATAGGGCCAGGCACTGTGGCTCACACCTGTAGTCCTAGCACTTTGGGAGGCCGAGTTGGCAGATTACCTGAGGTCAGGAGTTCAAGACCAGCCTGGCCAACATGGTGAAACCCCATCTGTACTGAAAATAGAAAAACTAGCTGGATGTCGTGGTGCATGCATGTAATCCCAGCTACTCAGGAGGCTGAGGCAGGAGAATTGTTTGAACCCCAGAGGCAGAGGTTGCAGTGAGCTGAAATCGTGCCACTGCACTCCAGCCTGGTGAAAGAGCAAGACTCTATCTCAAAAAACAAAACAAAACAAAACAAAAACACCTGAATAGACCAATAAGTAATTAGAGCAAAGCCATAATAAAAGTCTCCAAGCAGAGAAAAGCTAGGGCCTCTATGGCTTCACTGCTGAACTTTATCCAACATGTAAAGAAGAACCAATACCAATCTTATTCAAACTATTCCCAAAAAATAGAGGAAGAGGAAATCCTTCCAAACTCATTCTACAAGGCCAGTACTATCACGATACCAAAACCAGACAAAGAAAAGAAGAGAAAACTACAGGCCAATATCCCTAATGAACATTGATGCAAAAATTCTCAACAAAATACCAGCAAACTGAATTCAACAACACATTAAAAAGATCATTAATCACGACTAAGTGGGATTTATTCCAAGGATCCAAAGATGACTCAACATAGGCAAATCCAGGAATGTGATACATCAGATCAACGGAGTGCAGAATAAAAACTATAAGATAATTTCCATTGATGTTGAAAAATCATTTGATAAAATTCAACATCCATTCAGGATAAAACCCCTAAAAAACTGGGTATACAAGGAACATGCCTCAACACAATAACAACTACATATGACAGGCTCACAGCTGGTATCATATTGAATGAGGATAAATTGAAAGCCTTTCCTCAAAGATCTGGAAAATGACAAGGATGCCCACTTTCATCACTGTTATTCAACATAGTACTGGAAGATTTAATTAAAGCAATCAGACAAGACCAAAGAAATAAATGGCATCCAAATTGCAAAGGAAGAAGTCAAATTATCATTGTTTGCAATGGTATGATACTATATTTTGAAAAACCTAAGGACTCTATCGAAACACTATTTGAATTGATATGTAAATTCAGTACAGTTCAAGGATACAGTATCACCCAACAAAAACCAGTAGCATTTCTATATGTCAATACCAAACAGTCTGAAAAAGAAATCAATAAAGTAATATCATTTACAATACCTACAAATAAAATAAAATACCTAGGCATAAACTAAACCAGTGAAAGATGTGTATAATGAAATTATGAAACACTGGATCAACAAAATGAAGAGAATACAAATAAATGGAAAGATATTCCATGTTCATGGATTGGAAGAATAAATATTGTTAAAATGTCCACCCTACCCAAAGCAATCTGCAGATTCAATGTAATCCCTATCAAAATGCAAATGACATTCTTCACATAAATAGATAAAACAATCCTAAGATTTATAAGGAACCACAAGAGACCCAGAAGAGCCAATGTATCCTAAGCAAAATAACAAAATTGGAGAATCACATTACCTGACTTCAAATTACACTATACAGCTATTGGAACCAAAACAACAGGGTACTGGCTTAAAACAGACACATAGACCAATGGAACAGAATAGAGAACCTGGAAATAAATCCACACATTTTTAACTAACTGCTTTTCAACAAAGGTTCCAAGAGCATACATTGTGGAAAGGACAGTTCATTTATAAACAATGCTGGGAAAAATGGATATCTATATGCAGAATAATGAAACTAGACCACTATTATCATATATAAAAATCAAATAAAAATGGATTAAAGACAAATATAAAACTTCAAACTATGGAATTACTAAAAGAAAACATTAGAGAAACTCTTGCGGACATTGGTCTGGGCAAATCTTTCATGAACCATCACAGACAATCAAAGCAAAAATGAACAAATGGGATCCCATTAAGTTAAAAAGCTTCTGCACAGCAGAGGAAACAAGCAGCAAAGTGAAGAGACAACCCACAGAATAGGAAAAAATATTTCAGACTATCCATATGACATGGGATTAATGTGCAGAATACAAAAGTAGCTCAAAAAACTCAATAGGAAAAAATGTAATAATCTGATTAAAAATGGGCCAAAGATCTGAATAGATATTTCTAAAAAGAAGACATACAAATTGTAAACAGGTATGTAACAGGGTGCTCATTGGTCATCAGAGAAATGCAAATAAAAACTACAATGAAATATCATTTCATTTCAGTTAAAATGACTTTTATCCAAAAGGCAGGCAATAATGAATGCTCCTGAGGATTTGGAATTGCTGTATTTGGAATGTAAATTTAGAAAAGGAAGTGCATTGGGAAAGAAAGTTAGTGCGACCATTATGGAGAACAGTACAGAAGTTCCAGACAAAACTCAAAATTGAACTACCATATTATCCAGCAATTCCACTTCTAGGCATTTACCCAAAAGAAAGGAACTCAGTATATTGACGTGGTGTCTGCATTCCCATCTTCACTGAAGCACTATTCACAATAACCAATATTTGGAAGGAAACTAATTATCTATCAACAGACAAATGGGTAAGAAAATGTTGTACATATACACAATGGAGTACTATTCAGCCATAAAAAGAATGACATTTTGTCATTTACGACAACATGAATGGAACCAGAAAGGAAATAGAGGACATTATATCAAGTAAAATAAACCAGGCAAGGAGATTAATTTTGCTTATTTTCACAATTTGTAACAGCTAAAACATAAAACATTTGAACTAATGGAGAGAGCAAACAGAATGATGGTTACCAGACTGGGGAGTGTTTTGGGGAGTGGAGGAAGAGGTTAATGGGTACAAAAATATAGTTAAAATGAATAAGAGCTAGTATTTTACAGCCCAATGCATAATTATATTTGAAAATAATTTATTGTGCTTTTTTAAAAATTTATTTATTTATTTATTTATTATTATTATACTTTAAGTTTTAGGATACATGTGCACAATGTGCAGGTTAGTTACGTATGTATACATGTGACATGCTGGTGCGCTGCACCCACCAACTCGACATCTAGCATTAGGTATATCTCCCAATGCTATCCCTCCCCCCTCCCCCTACCCCACAACAGACCCCAGAGTGTGATGTTTCCCTTACTGTGTCCATGTGATCTCATTGTTCAATTCCCACCTATGAGTGAGAATATGCGGTGTTTGGTTTTTTGTTCTTGTGATAGTTTACTGAGAATGATGATTTCCAATTTCATCCATGTCCCTACAAAGGACATGAACTCATCATTTTTTATAGCTGCATAGTATTCCACGGTGTATATGTGCCACATTTTCTCAATCCAGTCTATCATTGTTGGACATTTGGGTTGGTTCCAAGTCTTTGCTATTGTGAATGATGCCGCAATAAACATACGTGTGCATGTGTCTTTATAGCAGCATGATTTATAGTCCTTTGGGTATATACCCAGTAATGGGATGGCTGGGTCAAATGGTATTTCTAGTTCTAGATCCCTGAGGAATCACCACACTGACTTCCACAATGGTTGAACTAGTTTACAGTCCCACTAACAGTGTAAAAGTGTTCCTATTTCTCCACATCCTCTCCAGCACCTGTTGTTTCCTGACTTTTTAATGATTGCCATTCTAACTGGTGTGAGATGGTATCTCATTGTGGTTTTGATTTGCATTTCTCTGATGGCCAGTGATGATGAGCATTTTTTCATGTGTCTGTTGGCTGCATAAATGTCTTCTTTTGAGAAGTGTCTGTTCATGTCCTTCGCCCACTTTTTGATGGGTTTGTTTGTTTTTTTCTTGTAAATTTGTTTGAATTCATGGTAGATTCTGGATGTTAGCCCTTTGTCAGATGAGTAGGTTGCAGAAATTTTCTCCCACTTTGTAAGTTGCCTGTTCACTCTAATGGTAATTTCTTTTGCTGTGCAGAAGCTCTTTAGTTTAATTAGATCCCATTTGTCAATTTTGTCTTTCGTTGCCATTGCTTTTGGTGTTTTAGACATGAAGTCCTTGCCCATGCCTATGTCCTGAATGGTAATGCCTAGGTTTTCTTCTAGGGTTTTTATGGTTTTAGGTCGAACGTTTAAGTCTTTAATCCATCTTGAATTGATTTTTGTATAAGGTGTAAAGAAGGGATCCAGTTTCAGCTTTCTACATATGGCTAGCCAGTTTTCCCAGCACCATTTATTAAATAGGGAATCCTTTCCCCATTGCTTGTTTTTCTCAGTTTGTCAAAGATCAGATAGTTGTAGATATGCAGTGTTATTTCTGAGGGCTCTGTTCTGTTCCATTGATCTATATCTCTGTTTTGGTACCAGTACCATGCTGTTTTGGTTACTGTAGCCTTGTAGTATAGTATGAAGTCAGGTAGTGTGATGCCTCCAGCTTTGTTCTTTTGGCTTAGGATTGACTTGGCAATGCGGGCTCTTTTTTGGTTCCATATGAACTTTAAAGTGGTTTTTTCCAATTCTGTGAAGAAAGACATTGGTAGCTTGATGGGGATGGCATTGAATCTGTAAATTACCTTAGGCAGTATGGCCATTTTCACGATATTGATTCTTCCTACCCACCAGCATGGAATGTTCTTCCATTTGTTTGTATCCTCTTTTATTTCGTTGAGCAGTGGTTTGTAGTTCTCCTTGAAGAGGTCCTTCACATCCCTTGTAAGTTGGATTCCTAGGTATTTTATTCTCTTTGAAGCAATTGTGAATGGGAGTTCACTCATGATTTGGCTCTCTGTTTGTCTGTTATTAGTGTATAAGAATGCTTGTGATTTTTGTACATTGATTTTGTATCCTGAGACTTTGCTGAAGTTGCTTATCAGCTTAAGGAGATTTTGGGCTGAGACAATGGAGTTTTCTAGATATACAATCATGTCATCTGCAAACAGAGACAATTTGACTTCCTCTTTTCCTAATTGAATACCCTTTATTTCCTTCTCGTGCCTAATTGCCCTGGCCAGAACTTCCAACACTATGTTGAATAGGAGTGGTGAGAGAGGGCATCCCTGTCTTGTGCCAGTTTTCAAAGGGAATGCTTCCAGTTTTTGCCCATTCAGTATGATATTGGCTGTGGGTTTGTCATAGATAGCTCTGATTATTTTGAGATATGTCCCATCAATACCTAATTTATTAAACCAACGAGAACAAAGACACAACATACCAGGATCTCTGGGACACATTCAAAGCAGTGTGTAGAGGGAAATTTGTAGCACTAAATGGCCACAAGAGAAAGCAGGAAAGATCCAAAATTGACACCCTAACATCACAATTAAAAGAACTAGAAAAGCAAGAGCAAACATATTCAAAAGCTAGCAGAAGGCAAGAAATAACTAAAATCAGAGCAGAACTGAAGGAAATAGAGACACAAAAAACCTTTCAAAAAATTAATGAATCCAGGAGCTGGTTTTTTGAAAGGATCAACAAAATTGATAGACCGCTAGCAAGACTAATAAAGAAAAAAAGAGAGAAGAATCAAATAGACCCAATAAAAAATGACAAAGGGGATATCACCACCGATCCCACAGAAATACAAACTACCATCAGAGAATACTACAAACATCTCTACGCAAATAAACTAGAAAATCTAGAAGAAATGGATAAATTCCTCGACACATACACTCTCCCAAGACTAAACCAGGAAGAAGTTGAATCTCTGAATAGACCAATAACAGGAGCTGAAATTGTGGCAATAATCAATAGCTTACCAACCAAAAAGAGTCCAGGACCAGATGGATTCACAGCCGAATTCTACCATAGGTACAAGGAGGAACTGGTACCATTCCTTCTGAAACCATTCCAATCAATAGAAAAAGAGGGAATCCTCCCTAACTCATTTTATGAGGCCAGCATCATCCTGATACCAAAGCCGGGCAGAGACACAACCAAAAAAAGAGAATTTTAGACCAATATCCTTGATGAATATTGATGCAAAAATCCTCAATAAAATACTGGCAAACCGAATCCAGCAGCACATCAAAAAGCTTATCCACCATGATCAAGTGGGCTTCATCCCTGGGATGCAAGGCTGGTTCAATATACGCAAATCAATAAATGTAATCCAGCATATAAACAGAACCGAAGACAGAAACCACATGATTATCTCAATAGATGCAGAAAAGGCCTTTGTGCATTTAAAAATAGCTAAAAGAGTATAATTGGAAGGTTTGTAACACTAAGAAATGATAAATGCTTCAGGTGAGGGATAACCCATTTATCCTGATGTGATTATTACACAGTGTATGCCTGTATCAGAATATCACATGTGCCCTGTAAATATATACACTATATTCCCATGACATTTTTAAAAGAAATAAAAAATATTAAAATTACCCAAAGAAGATCTGATATAGACCCCCCAAAGAAAACTGATCTATAGTTATGAACGACATCTTCACTGCCAGCATAATTTTGAGATAATTTTGAGATAAAAATGTTTGAGTAAAACACTATTTTTGATATTTATATTTATATGGATGTTGCATTTTTAACATTGTGAAAATTCAAAGAAACAATTACTGAACATAATTAGAATGTTTGCCTGCCTTCACTTAACAATCAGAGTTAAAAAGAATAACCAAAGTCGACCATTAAGTCACATTATAGGTTTTTCCTGACAATATCAGTATCCACATATTTCAACTCATTGAAGGCATACAAGTCATCCCATTTTTAATATATATCTCCAACTAAAGAAGATACAAATCCCTTCTTTGCAAACTTTTTTATCTATAATATCAATAAAATCTCTTAAAACCTATAATGATGTTGCAGTCTTTCTATAGATGTAGAGTAACTTTGATCCTCCTCTTTGTTCTTCCTCTTCTTCTCCAGAATGAGGGTCTCACTATGTTGCCCAGGCTGTAGTGCATGGCTATTCACAGGTGCAATCATAGTGCACTACAACTTTGAAATCCCGGGACAAAGCAATTCTCTTGCCTCAAACTCCCTCATAGTTGGATTACAGGCCATGCCACTGTGTCAGGCTTGGTTTTGGCATTTCCTCTCAGACTCACTGCTCACGCTTGAACAAACTCTACACATTGCAAAGATTCCACATTTAAATATTTTATCCTTTCTATTTTATTTGCTTTCCTAGTTAATGTTTGTTACTTCTAACAAATCAATTCATATTCTCTCTATAAAAATTCCCCTCCCAGTAAAGTATAATTTCAAGAGGCTGGCTAAGCAAAGGGTGGGAAAAAGCCTCCAGCCTTATCTGCACACTGGAAACCCAGGAAGAATTTAGAGACAGAGACTTATAGCAAAGGATTTTGGGATCCATCCAAAGGGCTTGGGCAGAGAGGTAGAAGCCAGACAAGATTCAATTACATGATAATGACATAGTCTATCTGGGAGAGAAGAATCAGAGTGTGTTTGTTAGGTGGAAGGTAGGGGCACTCTTGGAGTCCATCCATTATGGATATTAATTAATTAAATTTTTTTATGGATTCATTGTCTCAGCCATGGACAAAAATAGTTTGTAAGGGCAACACACCAGCTCATTGAGATGATTTTCCTCACACAAGTGTTTTAAATTATTTTAAAACTTAGATATAGGGCCAGGCGCGGTGGCTCACGCCTGTAATCCCAACACTTTGGGAGGCCAAGGTGGGCGGATCACAAGATCAGGAGATCCAGACCTTCCTGAGTAACATGGTGAAACCCAATCTCTACTAAAAATACAAAAAAAATAGCCGGGCGTGGTGGTGGGCGCCTGTAGTCCCAGCTACTCGGGAGGCTGAGGCAGCTACTGAGTCCTAGCTACTGAGTCCCAGCTACTCAAGGAAGCTTGAAGCCAGGAGGCGGAGCTTGCATGGCAGAGCATGTTCCATGGGAAAGCTGAAGTAACACTGATTCGGTGAAAAGTCAGTTATCCAATCCCTAGTTGTATGTGTGTTTGCCTTATTTTTTATTTTGCCTGTTCTTAAATTTCTTGAACCTGAAAAAGTATCTCTTGACTTGTATATATGTACATAGCACCAAATGCACATTTGGTATGCAAGAAGTAGATCTTGGTGAGAGTGAAGTTGATTTATTGTTTGTTAAGAACTATTTTAGTGTGGACTCTTGTAGTTTAATATTTATTGAGTGCCTACTCTCTGAAGTACTGTTCTGTATGAGACACTTCATTCTCAAACTATTTGCACTTAAAAAGCACTTAGGCAGAACTTATTTCGACAGTTTCTTAGTCATGGTTGCCCTCTCACAGTAGCGTTTTAGAAGGATGACTTCTGTATTGCATGAAAAGATACACTTCAAACAGTCTGAATGTAATTCCATGGCAATCAGACATCTTAGGTTTCTGGAACAGATGCTGTATGGCCTGATCTGCTTTAAACATACTATGACCAAGTTGATCCAGGGACAAGATTAGGCAGTATGATCCTGAGCTCAAACACTTCAAAGCTTTCGGAAAAGGAAGTGCATTTTAAACACTACATCAGAATATAATTTGATCTAGCCTCATGATCAGCATCTAAATTTTTTATATTACTCTCTTTTTTACTTAATAGTCACATAATATTATGATTAATTATGTGACTATAGCATTGAAAAGAAAACTGCTATACTGTTCAGGAAAATCTTGATGATAGAAGATCCTGTCATCTTTCAAACACTGCAAAAGGCCTCCAAGTGAGGTTTCTGCAATCCTGCAGTTATAAAATAATACCATATCTTGAGAGTATACAATATAACATGATTAACTATAGTTCTAGTCTTCTTAGCCAAAAATTCTCATACTTCACTTCATTTGTAGAACCTGTGTAAAGATGACGATGCCAGTCTGTGGAGATTAAATACTGAGATGCAGAAATGTCCTAAATTATCTGGCTTCGGTATTTGTCTCTCCCATAATGCCTGCCATATTAAATATAATTCCTCAGAGATTTGTCACAAATAAAAATATAACTATGACACTTGCTAATCAATATTTTGCAAAGTTACATGCAAGAAGTTATATAGAGAGAACTAAATTCATTTCCAATTCGTAGTACCAAGCACTAACATGAGCTACCGGCTTTCTATACTATGACCGCTATCCCCAACTCTTGCTTAGTTTCTCACTGTAACTTTCTCAAGTTTTAAACTCAGCATAATTCACCTTGTGATTTTCCTTTATACCTACCCCTGCCATTTGCTTCACTAAATTCTCATCCACTAGAGTGTAAATTGTAAATGGAATTCATGCACTAAAATATTTAGTTTCTTGATCTATTGCCAGCACTAGTGTCTGGCATGTAGTAGACCCTCAACAAATATTTTCTGAAAAAATGAATTGAATTATTTAAAGTTTAGTTTGGTTATCAGCACTTACAGGGGGTCTTTTTTGCTTCTCCCCTAGTACCATCAACCTAAATTAGATGCCTCTCTATAGTGTTCTCATGTTAATACATATATTTTTCTATTGCTGCACATACTACATTATTTTAGAATTTATTTGTTGATGTGTGTATTTATTCCTAGATGTTGAATTACCTCTCGCTAGGGACCCTGTTTTATTTATTTCTAAACATTTTTTCATGCCTAGTAGAGCAGATGACACATATGGGGCATTCAATATATATCTGTTGAATACATGCATGAATAAATTCACTCTTAACACTAAAAAAAAAGTGTGTGTGTGTGTGTGTGTGTGTATGCATTTATCAAGGTTCAATTCCACCCAGGTGTCTTCTAGAGATTGTCAATGTTTGGTACGTCTGCTTTAGGGACTAGATTGTGTTTTGATTATTTTGATTAAAAAGAAACAAAGATTTTATATTACCAAAAGAGAGAGATTGTTCCTTTTGTTTTTGTTGTTGTTGTATGTTCATATTCCCTTCATTACTTTTCAAACTGAATGCCAAAAAAAAATTTATATATTATGTATCTTTGTTCCAGGCTCCTTTTGATATGTGGGAAACATCAGTTTTCTCAATGATTGGGGTAGATGATACAGGGGTTTTGCTAACTACTTTCAATACACTGCCTTAAAGAGTAAAACAATGGTTCTGTTTTCATTGCAGAGCAAAAAATGTGGATCCACCCCAAACCCTGTTACAGACACGCTTTGCTTTATTTGTGATGCAATGGGTATCTTTCTCTTACATAGTTATCATGGTATAAGTGTGTATCCTCCCTCAGTACATAGTTACTCTTTCAAATAATTATAGTAACCTTGGATTGTAGTTAAGAAAAATAACCATTGACTATCAGTCATATCTTCCGTTGTGCATCATTTTATCTATGTCAAAAATCTATACCTAATTTTGAAATCATTCATGATAATATCCATGACAAAGATTTGCTACGATTTCTGTATCTTAAAATGAAAATGTTATAGAAAACGAGGAAAGCAGATGTCAAATGAAATATGAAGGTCAAGGCAAAAATGAATCTACTAACAGAAATAAAAACACATATAGAAGGTAAATTTATTTGAAAGTCTATACAATTTGTTTATTTTCAATAGTGGCAATGGTATATTCAGGAGTTGATGGCCAGTATATTAGGCCAAATGGTTAGCAGGTGATACATAAGAACCACAGGGAACAGAAACAATAAGAGATAAATACTATAAGATCAACAACAAAAAAGAGGATCTGGCACTTAGGTTGTTCTATATGGCTGTTCAAGATTCTGTTCAGTTGCTTTTGTTCCTCTCTCATTCAAATGAGAGTCACTAAAAAGCAAACATGACCTAGAGGCCTGTGTAGAATTATAATACATATATTCCAATATCTAATATTAAAATAATGCTAGCTATAGTTTAGAAAACTTTGAAATGATTTTTTCTCTGTTCACAGCTTAAAACAGAGTAACTCTGACAGTGTCATATTTCCTTTTTCTCCTTTTTTTCTTAAGTGAATTACAACACTTAATTGACAACAACCTTTTGAAACTACAATGTTCATAGGCATCTAGAAATAAAGCCATGCAGAAATTCACTTCCTCTATCAATTACAACAATCATGGTCTTTTAAAATTACATATGGATGTGAAGAATTTTGGCTAAATCAGACTTCTTTAGTATTTGTGTATAGATGTTAAAATAAAAAATATTTTTATTCTACCATTTTGAACCAATTATTTTGATTAACTTTTCACTTATCTTTTTACCTTGTGGATCTCCAAAATTCATGTTGATGAGTGCAAATATTTGATAAGTGCATAAACAGTCAATTTTGAGATACAGTTTTTGAAGTTAACACAAATGTGTTTTGATAATTTTCCATAATATGAAGATAAAATATTTAAATTACTTTCATGTAACTTCATTTTTTCTGTCATAAATTGTACTATAAGGATAGATTCATTTAATTCTATAATTTGTATCAAATTTTATAACAACTTCTGTCTTGCAGTTTTATTTTCTGGCTAAGTGCATTTTGCTTGATCAAATTTGGAGATATTAATAGTTAAAACATTTAGTTATCTTATTTGATTTTAATCAGTAACACATTTTATCAAGTACAATTTTACCACCAATATGTCTAATTTTACTGAGGTTAATATATATAGTTTTAAACAGAATTAACCAGATAGGAATTTTCAGAATTTTATGTATAAAAATTTCAATGTGTTTAAATACAATTGTAGTCAGAATTATTGTTTTATTTTTCCTTTGATTTTTTCTTTTAGCAACATTCAATTTGAAAGATTAATAAAATGAATGTTTCTCTTTATTTTTTAATTCAATTGTACCAAATAATAGCTGTAAACTTCTTAGGTATCACACACTTGCTCCCATTTTTGAAACTCCTGAAAGCTCAACATTCTTTTCCTTGTTATCTTTTTTGAAAGTTTTTAATTTTTTTTTAATTCATGGAGGTTATTTTTCTGAGAAGATACAATTTTTTTCTTGGTAATTTTGGATTTGATCTTGGAGGATTTTTTCTTATAAATTTATACCAAAATATTATACATTTTTAGGTATTCTATATGAACCTGTAACATGATAATGTGTAGCATTAGGACAAAGATCTAGGTTCTTTGTACTCAGATAGCTCACGTATTCCCAGAAGAGAAGCACTGGAAAGAAAACAGTCAATATCAAATTGCCCTGCTTAGATGTATGGTGAAGTGAATTTAGAATTTATTTAAAAATAAATAAATTCAAGGCCAAAATTTCCAAACACTCTTTAAAGCTACTTTTGCAGAATATTTTTGATCATATAGAGGAGAGTGATTGCCAAGTTGAGTGCAGTGAAGAACTCATGAGAAGACACTTATTCGATTATTTAAAAATGTGTAACTCATAAATTCTTTCTAAGAACTTCTTTTTAGCCACAAGTTGAATCCCTAGTTTTGGAGGACATAGGTGACAAATAAATAATTTCTGGATATTCTGTTAGCTAATAGTCTATTTCTTATGGTCTTATCATTAACAGAAGAGCAAAAGTAAAGCCTGGGATGGCTCTGGATTTGCAATTTGTAATTGTTGTGTGAGTTGAAATATTTCTGGGAACTAATACCAGGTAGGAGCCAAGAGTTGTTTGGCAGAGGGAGTTACTTATTTGAGTAAGCAATTTTAGGAGATATAAAAATATATTAGACCCCATCAACTGTCAGATAAGCAGAATAAAGAAATTTTTAAAAAGTTTAAACAGGGAACCAGATAAAAGATGTAGTCCAAATCACTGTATTGTATGTCATAATACACAACTGTATATTTTCCCACAGTATTTATAAAAGAAGGTTCAGCAATCTTTCAAAACTGAGCCAATAATTTGCATAGCCCGTTTTTTGTATTTTTGCTGAATTTAAAGATCTTTAACATTATATCAAGTAATAGAAGGCCTTGAGAAAAAAATAAAGTAAAATGGAAGTGCACCCCCAAAAATTTTCACATAGGATTTTGCTTTTCCACTCTTCACTTCTCTCTTCCTGCCATCTGAGTACATATCTCTACTTTCACTTTAGAGCTCTGGGATAATCATGACCTCATAAAGATTTGTATCTAGAATGAATTCTATGAAAATGTTTTTCTGTATAGAACAGAAACTAGACATCATTGTCCAGGTCATCTTTATAGCAATTCAATATTCCTATGCTTTGATGAAAACTGTCAAGATTGCAAAATCCAGAATGATATTTTCTTCTCCCCTCTTAATTACAATAGCACCTAATATTTGTACTATTACCCATTCTTTTATGCCAATCTAACTCTTTCCTCATAATTGTCCCAAGGCTTTTTAATGACATGGTAATTTTCCTTAAAATTCAGCTCAGTACCCCTTTAAGCAAATGTTGTCAGGAACCCAAAAATGCAAATGAGTGGCCAAAGATAGGCAGTTTGAAATTTTAAGACTGTCCATGTTTTCTGACACATAACTGAGATGTGACTGCAAAATAAAAAGGACCTTCTAATACAATATTTCATCTAGGCATACATACTAATATTGACTTCATAACTGCAACTTCAAATTACACATCTCTGATCCATGCCATATTTGTTTGTGCTTACAGTTGATAACTGAAAATAATCTTCTCTTAATTTCATGTTTGGTTATGCCCTTATAATTTTTTATTGCAATACCATATTTTGCCACACCCATTTTTATGAAAACATTTCTTGTCTCCCCCCCCAAAAAAAAATGACAACGGGAAGACAAGTGTTGTTATTATTAAATTCTTCCAGTATATGGCATTCCTCCAGGAATAATAGGGGACTACTTTCTGTTTGTACTGCTTCATTTTTCTTCTGCTTTCCTCTATGCCCTATTTTAATAATTTCTCAGTTAGTATTATTTTTGTGACCCCTCACTTCTGATCTCATTAGAAACGTATCAACTATTGTCAGCACCTAAAATGTCCTAGGCATTACTATAAGCGCTCATTTAATTCAGAAACAACACTATGAGGAAGATGTCCATTTTAAAAATGGGAAAAATTAAAGGCCAAAGAAATTGAATAACTTGCCCAAGGTCCAAAGCCGGTAAACATCACAGTTGGGTTTCAAACTTAGGCTGTCTGGCTGAGAAAGTGTCACTGCTAAAGAGAGGGTCACACACCCTGTCATTTGACCTAGCGATTTCTATTACATAATACATTTTATCTTTCAGTATAGTATGCCTTCCCTCTCTTTGAGAAATATTTCTTGATGATAAGTTTCTCTTTATTATTCTACTCTGATTATGAACATCTCTCTATATTCACTTTTGTTCCTTCTGAAGTCTAACTTCTTCAACCTGAACTTCTAGGTCACTCTTTAATATTTAATCATGAATTACAGTAAAATTCCAAACTTATTAAACCTCTAATAATTCATAACTCCTTTATAAATGCTAAGGAGTAAGGTTCCAGTGTTAATGTTGGATATATTTCTTGCTCTTCAGGACATGAAGATTTACCCAAAGTACCTGTTACTTAGAAAGTTTATTATTTCCAGTCAAAATCAGAAGTACATATCAAGCAGAGGTTAAGCATACACAGCACATGGTTTAGACAGTTATTCTTCCAAGAATAACTTATTTCTGTAGAACAATAATCTCTGGTCTAGCAAATGCTC
This sequence comes from Homo sapiens, assembly GCF_000001405.40. Classification (NCBI taxonomy): domain Eukaryota; kingdom Metazoa; phylum Chordata; class Mammalia; order Primates; family Hominidae; genus Homo; species Homo sapiens. The sequence goes on along the minus strand of NC_000007.14, from coordinate 85,981,441 downwards.
CTCAATTCATATTCAAAAAAAAAACTGTAATGCAGAGACTGGAACTTTGCTGATAAGGAAACTATAGCTTTAACATCATTGACTTGGGTGTTCCAAACTAGTTTTTTTTTTTTTTTTGGTCTGGGGTAGTTGATCGTTTTTTCACAATGAAAGCAGCTACACAAAATGGCCCAAAGATGTTACTTCATCGGTAAGTCCAAACAAGGTTTTCTGATGAGAACATTGTATCTATTAAGAAGAAACACCTTTCTTCCTTGTTTATCCACCTGGAGCAGGGTGAGGTACCTGGAGAAATTGCTGAAGCATCAAAATGCAGTTATTACATTTTCTGCAAAACAATAAAAGATTTCAAATTCTCCAAGGAACAATCTAGGAAGGAGAAGAAAGAGCCAACAAGATTGGTCATCTGTTTAAGAAGAGAGAGAGAGAGTGAATTCCAGGAAGCAGCCATGATGGCACAAACAGTTCACATGGGATATAAATGTGTGTGTGGGTGTGTGTGGGTGTGGTGTGTGTGTGCGTTTGTGTGTGATTTTCTGCACTGTGAAATATGACCCTTTTCTACCACCTTAAGGACTTTAAGAAAGACTACACAAACATTTCAATACCTGCTGTGAACAGATGTCATCTGAAAATATGTGATGGGGCCAGATTTTGCATCTGAGAAAGGGTGGATGCATATACACATGTAGTTGGAAGATCCTGAGCTATTTTCTGAATTACATGGGTGATACTATATTAATTGCTTAGTAAGTCAGCAAGACAACATTGATTTAAATCTGGAAGCCAGAAAAAACAATTTAGGATGATCAATGAATTTATAGATGGGGGCCAAAATGTTCCCAATTGTGTGTGTGTGTGTGTGTGTGTGTGTGTGTGTGTGTGTGTGTGTTTTCCGGAGGCATGTAAGTAACATTTTTTTAGAACAAGTACAAGGAACATTTCCATTATTTTATAACTCCTCTTACCAGAGCCAGAGGAGGACCAGGTGTATCATTCTGGGCACTTAAAATGGCTTATGCCAATGTCTTAAATAAAGGCTTTTTGTTTTGTCTGAATTTGCAGACTTTCATCAATATAATAGTCATTCTTCAGATCAGAGCTCACTTTTCTCAAGTAGCACTTGACTGAAAAAACTTTTTTCCTAACTTCATCGGTATATCCGTTTTCTATTGCTGTGTAACAAATTACCACAAATTTAGCAGCTAGAAACAGCACACATTTAGTATCTCCCAGGTCCTGTGCACCAGGAATTCTACAATGATTTGCTCACTGGATGAAATCAATATATCGTCAGAATCCTCTTTCAAGATCACATGATTGTTGGCAGAATTCAGTTCCTTGCAATTGGAGGTTTGAAGCCCTTAACAGCTAAAGGCTGCCTGCAGTTCCATGCCACTTGAACCTTTTAATAAGCAGTTCATACATGTCATAGCAGCATGCTTCTTCAAGGCTTGTCATGAGTTTTTCAGTCCAGTCTGCTAAGACAGAGTCTTGCAGAATGTGTTGTAGTCAGAGAAGTGACATCATATCACCTTTGCCATATTCTCTTGGTTAGAAGCAAGTCACAGTTTCTGCCCACACTCAAGTAAGGGGATTACACAAAGGCATGTACACCAGGAGGTAGGGATCATTGGGGCTCACCTAGGGTTGGTATGCCATACCCTGACTGCTTTAGTAAATTGATCACACTTTATTTTGTTCCTCAATTTTGTTCTAAATGCATTTCTATCATGTTACATATAGTAACTAAGTCATTATGTTTGTGTTTTTCTTCTCCAGCCAGTAGTACCACTTAAATTTCTATCTCTGAAGTCCGCTAGCATAGGAATGTAGTATGTCTTTCTAAATAAATCACATAATGAATAAATGAATGAAATAATGCATGAATGTTTTGCATTCATTAAAAGTACGAGTATATAACAATTTGAGTACTACAGATATAAACTCATCTATGCCATGAAAACTTTTGGATTTGAGCAAAGTCTTGACATTTGGTAAATTTTTGACAGATTCTATAGAGTTGGTGCTATAGTGGCGCTGATGAGTTGAAATGCATAATAGCACATGTAGGAGCAGGCATAAACATGAAAGTTCATTGATAAGAGCACAAGGTTCCTATGGGGCATATAGAGTTATATTATTAGAGTCATGTGAAGCCCCTAACCGCCATCTTCAGGAGTCTCCTTTTTATTTCTTTTTTGACAGAGTCTCACTCTCTTGCCCAGGCTGGAATGCAGTGGCACAATTAAGGCTTATTGCAGCCTCAACTTTCTGGGCTCAAAAGACCCTCCCACCTCTGTCTTCTGAGTAGGTGAGACCATCGGCGCGCACCATTGTGCCTGGCTAATTTTTGTATTTTTTATAGAGATGAGGTTTTGCCATGTTGCCCAGGCTGGTTTCCAGTTCCTGGGCTCAGGTGACCTACCTGCCTTGGCCTTCCAAAATGTTGGGATTACAGGCATAAGCCACCAAGCCCGGCCAAAATGTTTAACTGTAGATTAAATTTTAGAAAGATAGGACAAAAGGATTGAAACTATTTGGGTTTTAAGATTGTCCTTTGGGGACCTCTTTCTACCCAAGACAGCACTATTTCGAGAAACCTCATAATATAACATATATTAAGTGGATATCATGACCCCTGAAAAACCATTAATTTTTTGCTCATTTAATTCCTCATTTCATATATGTGAATCACTCAACATTTTTTGTATTTTATTATATTACAAAGATAATAGACAATATCCTTTAGCTTAGTTTTTATTCTGTAGTAAATTAAATGTAGTCTTTTCTCTATGGAAACCTATATCAAGTATTTTGAATACTTAATTTACTAATTTGACTTCCTATTCACCCTTTCCTTTCATTAGCTAGCCTTTTGTTTAGAATTCCCACCGTTATTTTCAACTTATTTTTGAACAGTTTTTTTTTTGAAGCATGTTATTCCAGACCTTTAGATACTCAGTATTTCAAGCCAAGCAAAACTACCTGTATATAGGTCAATTGAGAAAGCAGAAAGAGCAGTCGTGCCTTCATACTTATATTGTGCATCACAGAACACCAGAAAGACAGCATTGCTTACTTTTCTCGCTCCTCTCCTCTTTCTCTTGAATGTGTCTTCTTTATCAGATTTTTTCCCCCAACTTCATCCAATTCCCATCACATTTGATGGTATGAACAATCTAGTCAGTATAAAAGTTCAAACCCATCAATGCACTGTCTAGAATACTGTACATGCCAAAAAAAATCAACCTTGGGCTTTTAAATTTACTGCATTCACACTGTAGGAGGAGATGCTTTTTGGATTCTCCCACCCTGCCACTCCCAACACCCACTCAAAAAATGAAAATCAAGAAAACAATTTTGTTGCAGCATTAATCTCAGTAAAGAAAACATATCTTTAAAAATAAATTGCAAGAGTCTATTTTTTATTGATTATTCAATCAAGAGCTTGTTTTCTGGTAAATTCAAAAGATGATCTAAAGCATCTTTGCTAAAGCATTTCAAAGACCTTTAATCTTAATTACTACTTCATTGTAGCTGTCAGCATTTCATTATAGGTGAGTCATTCTAAGGCATTGTTACTCTGATCAGCTTCTACTTGTCAGATCTTTGATTGATACAATCCTTTACTCACTTGACTTTTGCTTAACTATACCAACTAGATGTTGCTACAAAAATCCAAACTAAAGAAACTTATTTGATTAAGAATTGTTAAAGTCCATATATTTTCTATGGAACCGATTTTCTCAGTATACTCATGATAATCTTGCCTTTCAAAAATCAATGGATTAGTCCAAAATAATGGTCTACCATAAGGTTGTTTAAAAAAAAATCCCCCTTTTTGGTCAGGCTCTCACTTAGGTGAGAGTGTAACCAAAACTTAGGGCCTTAGCGCTACTCTCAGTTACCATCAACTTGGGTTTCTGGTCTCAGCACATCATTTATAGGTTACGGTGTTTACCATCAACTTGGGTTTCTGGTCTCAGCACATCATTTATAGGTTACGGTGTCCTCATGGTTGCAGATTTCTTTCAGCTCCTGTTATTACAGTTGAAGAGAGATCATATGATATTCTAGAGATGGCTGCGTGCAAGCATTTAAAACCTTTGAGAGAATACAGAGCACTAGGGAAACTATTATTATGACTATTGGGAGGATAATACCAAGAGTTTGGAGTATGCTCCTTACCCAAGATCCCCATAAACCAAACTCCTAAAATCAAATAGGTCAAAGAATGAGCTAAAGAGTTTACTCACTTGACTAAGCAATTTATTTGTGAGTCTCCTGCCACTGAATTTCTATAATCTTCATTTTATGTATTTCTCCATAGGCCACAAGTGCCAGCAGCTGCACAGATACTGTTCTGTTTAGCTAATTCTATTATTTAACATAACTTCCACAAGAGAATTTAAAGACTAAGCTCATGCAGTAGGCCCCAACAAACTGAACCAAACCAAAATGGTGTTGCTTGTGCTAAGACTTTAAGGAAACACATAGATTCTAGAAAAGACCAGGTTTTGTTTTTTCTCCTGCAAATCTCTGTAACAAACATTTCTGACAGCATAGGTTTCCACCCCCTGAAATTCCCATTAAATCTTTCAACAAAATTCATTTCCTTTCACCTAGAAAACATCAAGCTTCAGATGATCATCCAACAAAGGTTCCAGCCAGTTTCAGGTGAAGACACCACCCCTGGCCATCAAGGAGCTACCCTGCCTCCACTAGACAGAGCAGGGTGAGAGTTTTGTGATCCCCAATAGGTGGGGACTATGCTCCAAGCCATAATGAAGCAGTTACAGAAAAAACAAAAACAAAAACAAAACTCTACCTCCCATGAAGATTTATGGGGATCACATCTCTTAGAGGGGGAGATGAGGCAGGAAAATAGGGTCTCAAGGCAGGGAACATGAAGCCGATTCACACTTCAGCTATGACAGGAAATATCCTCTCCACAGGGCGTAGGCCAAGTAAATGACTTCGTAACTTTACTTCATCCTCTCCATTTACATAAAGCTTACCCCAAGTAACCAATGGAATCCTGTAGGGGGTATTTAAACTCTCAAAAATTCTGTAACAGAGCCTTTGTGCCCTGTACTTTCATTTTCAATAAATCCCTTCATTCCTTAATAAATAAATAAATAAATAAATAAATAAATAAATAAAATCCATGGATTTAGGTAATTAAACCAAATTTCATGCTATGGGCCTTGAATTAAATTTTTAAAATAAAAGGCAGTGTGTGCTAGCATTTAGGATCAAATGAGGTGGCACTCAATAAAAGTTGCATAAAGATTTTTTATAAATTCAATGAGAACCATATCAGTTAAAAGAACAGAGAGCCTTGATTCATCAAATAAATGCTGCATGAGTGTTTTCCAAAATGAAATTCAAGTAGCTGTTTTAATTTTAATATTTAAGTGTTTTTTTCACTTTAAGAATTCAAACACATATAGATACGTACATACACATGCAGGTAGCTCAGGTTCAGTACACAGAAATTAGTCCTGAGACTTCTGAGTAAATCACCAAGAGGAGAGCTGGATGAATAGGTGAGCTGGAGAAGCAGGGTAGAAAACTGAAAAGAGAACTTGCCAATTCAAAACTTTTCTGGAAGAGACATTTCCAAGGAATGAGGTAGAGACTGCTTCTCTAATTGGTAAGAAACATTTCAGTAGGATAGGAATGAGACAAGCAATTCGTATTTGGTATTAAACTAATTGCTTGGCCTTTTCACTCATATGACAAGTAGCTAAATTATCTTGTTTGTGGTCTAATGTTCTGTCTTCTCAGGGTTATGTATAAAGAAACTTGTCAGTTGTTACTCTGACTCCTAGACAAAGATAAATTTGAGTTTGTACCTTTGCAGCATATGGTGTAATTCTCAGTATTTTCCAAAATTTGTCCCCCATCATTTTTTTTGTTAAGTACCTAAAATTCAAATGCCTCACTTTGCATTGAGCTGCCCTATCCCTATTCTTCAGCCAGTCTGGTCTCTGGAATTTGCATTACCAGGTAATTTCATTCCTATATTTTCAACCTGTACCTGCCAATGTATATGTATATTTCCCCCACAGATTACTGACATGCTAAAATTTCTCCCATTAAAAAACAACGTAAAAAGAAGTGAACCATACAGCAACCTAACAACCACTATTAGATACTTTATTTCTTTCATCCTTCATTGCTGAGGTGCTAATATCATGAAAATGATATGAAGGCTAATATTTCCCAGGGGAATGGTATTTCTACAAAAATTTCATGAAAATATTATAAGATTAAAGAATTTGAAGAGTGTTTGGATCAGAAAAATTGAAACAGAATTTTTCATTGTAAGATTTCTAAGAAATCATATATGACAATTTTCACTGTGAACTTGCAAGATATTGTCTAATGACCATAAAGATTTTCATTTTTCATTCATCCAATTATTCATTCACAGAGGAGAAAATAATTTTCTCTTAGTATATTTAAAATCTTTTTGAAAAATTATCATGTACATTTACAGTCTCTGACTTCTGACTTTAAATGTTCATCTCAATCCAGCAAAATGCAGGTTTTGCCTCCAACCCATTTGAATCTTCTGTGACAATTGTCAACAATATTTTCCAAATGGTAGAAAAAAAAAAAGTAAAATAGGGACTAATGATCTTTTCAGTTGTTCACTTACTACATCACAGTATTTCAAATCAGTGACTCTTCCCTCCACAAAGTTATCTTTCCCTTTGACCTTCATTTTTTCTCTGTTATGATTTTCCTTTCATGTTTGTAAAGTTCTTTCTCGGCATTTTTGGCAAGCTGCCTTATATTTGCCCAATTATGTTCACAGAAATACTCATCTCTGGTAATCTTACTGTATGTATTCACTGGATTATCAAATGTGTTCTTTAAAAAAAAATCTATCTACATTTTCATGACAGTAAAATTGTTCTCCCTGCATTTCTTCAAGCATCCGGTTCTCATAGCTGGCTGATTGCATCTCTTTCTGGGTTTTCCTGGGAAATCCTCAAATTTAATATGTATAAAAATATCTATTTTCTTCTCCTGTATCAGAGCACATGGTACTACCATCTGTTCACTCAGCCATGTCAGAAACCTAAAAACTGTTATTTCCCTCTTTACTCATTCTTCCCATAAATACATGACTGAGTTTCAGTGTTTCTGTTTTCTTTATATCTTGCAATTCCATCTCCTTATGTAAAACTTAAGGAATACTAAGTTAGTTTAGTCTGTTACCTGTCACTTGATTATTGCTGTATATTCCTCATAGGTTTTTCTTTTCCCAGTCTTTGCACCTAAGAAGGCTTTCTGAATTTTCTAATAAAAATACAAATCTGAACATGTGTCTTTGCAACTAAAATCCTTAAATAATCTCCATTATATAGAGGATAGTCCAAAGTTCGTTTACAAGTAACACAATAGTATTTTGGTTCCTACATGATCTTCCGAAAACTTGTCACTTTCAATAATTGGTTTGATCTTATTTGCCCTCCTATTGAAATGTGGTTCATTTGTTACTGAAGAATAGATAACTAGAACAATTTTATCCATGATTGGCTTCCTACCTACTTCTGTGTCCTGTAAATTTATCTCTGTAAGAGTTGTTATATTATGATTGAATCATGTTAAAGTACAAACAGGATTTTTATGAGTTAGACTTCATGTTTATCTGAAAAAATATTTTAAAATCCCAAGTTCAACACCTGTGAAAAGAAGGGGAAAAAAATTACAGCAATTCAAGCATGATTCAATATTAAAAAATCTTTCAGGAGGTCAAAAGACCCTCTGTATATCTAGGAATAATCTTTTCTTAAAATTGCTTTAATATTTTAATTATTAATATAGTCATATCAATTTTTTGATTAACTTTTGCCTTGTCTTTCTCTTATTTTTAACTTTTGTGTATATTTTGTTGAACACATAACTTTGTAAATAACATATCAATATTTTTAGAATCAATTTTTAAAGCTCTTTTAATTGAAATAATTACCAAATTTAAATTAATTCTTATTATCCATAACTTTTTTCTTTCACCTTATTTTGTGTTTAATTTTACTCACTTTTTTTCTATTTTTATTTTCTATGCTTTGTTTTAGATTGATTCAATATATAATCTCATTCTATTCTATTTTATTTTGGAAATTATACTATTTCTTTCTTTTTGTGATTATCACAATTTTGTTACCATCCTGACTTGGTGTCAAAAGTCTGGAGTTAATAACTTTACCAATAATACAAATGTGTTGACACCTCTCAACAAATAGTTAACATTGTACCTATTAAAGATTTTACCTCCCAATGATGGCAGTGGTGGCCTGTCTGGAGAGGCTGCTGTGAAGATGTCTGCTGTAGTGGGGTAGGCGTGGCCAAAATGGCGCACTCCTCAGAGCCACTGGGGGCTGAGAACAGGCAGGAGCCCTGCCCGCTACTGAGTGGGCAGGGTGGGAGTTCTGCACTGCTGTGCACAGGCTGCAGCCGCCCAGCTGCGACTTCAAACCCGGACATCCCTGTTCTCTTGGAGGTCCAGTAAGCCACCCTGCCCCCGCAGGTTTGGAAGTACCTGCTCCCTGGCCTCTCCCTTGCTCCTGGTGCCTGCTCTGATTTGTGCCTGTGCCACAAAGCAAAGTTGTGGCCAAGCCCGGGAACTGTTGCAACCTGGCTGGGTATGCATGAGCTCAGGGTCGTGCTGACACACCAGCCCCCTGCCGCCTCATCCCCCTCTGGACTTTGGGCACTGACTAGCACACAAGGGAGGCCACAGGGACCCAGGGCGGCTTTGCACGGGCCTACAGGTGCCCTTTGGCATGAACAGCCTGGGTGCTATGGATGGCATGTTGATGGCAGGAGGCAGACAGGTTCTTGGGCAGAAAGGGGCAATCTCTGGTGAAACCCCACCTTCAAGGCAGAGACAGCCTTAAGCCTGGGGGCGGGCTGTCAGTTTCGGGTGGAGTCTGTGGCCCAGAATGAGGACTTACTGTGCTTTATTCGGCCTGCCCACAGACCAATCAGCACTCACTTCCTCCCATCCCAGCCCATAAAAACCCCAGACTTAGCCAAACTCACACAAACTCATGCCCCTCTGTGGGAGGGAGCTACTCACTTCGGGTCTCCTTGACTCTTCTGGACGACCTACTGGTGGAAAGGAGCTACCCACCACAGGTCTCTTCTTCACTAAGAGCTGGACCCATGCCTGTATGACCTGCCTACGGAAAGGAGCTACCCACTTCAGGTCTTCTCAGAGCTATTCTGTCTCTCAATGAAGTTCCTTTCCACCTTGCTAACCCTCCATTGGTCCGTGTACCTCATTCTTACTGGATGCGGGACAAGAACTTGGGTCATGCTGAATGGTGGGACTGAAAGAGCTGTAACATAAACAGGGTGGAAACACACCCTCTGCTCACCACATTGTGGATATCAAGAAGGAGAAAAGAGCTGAAGCCCTTCTGGGAGTGCAGACCTAGGGGCTCCCAGAGCCAGGCCTATGACACACTGTAATACCCCTCTTTGAAGCTTTGCAGTTGCTGCTGTCCAAGCTCTTGGGCGTCACCATGTTCCCCTTGTCCAAATGCTAGTGCCCTTGGTGGAAGCCACTTGCGGTATATCTGGTCTAGCCATAGCCTCGCACAGAGCTGGCACCTGTGACAGAGCCTGGAGCTGCCCTTTCCATTACAGCCAGAGCACCTGGCTGTGAGCAGTGACCAGACTCTGTGTACATTTGCTCACACACCCTCGCTGCTCCACACCTGGCTTGCCCTTGTCAGGCATGATATTCGGGGCAGTAGCATGAGCTGAATGCAGCCTGCCAGGCTGAGTAGGCAAAATGAGCCCAGCAGGCACAAGCAAAACCCAAGCAGAGACAATGCTGGCCACAAAGTTTTCTGACTGGCCAAGCAACAACCCAGGGATCCTGTGACACTAATATTATTTTTATAATTTTACATAGCTACAATGTTATTCAAAGTTCAATGAGATGTTTTAAATTTGGTATCTTTAGCTTTAACTCTTTTACTGTAAAATAAAATATACACTTAGAGAAGCATACAAAACTTATCAGTTCAGCTCAATTATAACAGAACAATCATTGTATAAAACTATGATAAAACAACAAAAAAGAGACATACAGCACCCTAGTAGCTTCCTTCTTGCCCCCTACAAATTATAAACTCCCATTTATGAAATCACATTGACATTTGTATCAATTAGTTTATAACCAAATTATTTTTCTAAACTTACTATTATTATTATTTTGAGACAGAGTCTCACTCTGTTGCCCAGGCTGGAGTGCAGTGGCACAATCTGGGCCCACTGCAACCTCCACCTACCAGGTTCAAGTGATTCTCCTGCCTCAGCCTCCCTAGTAGCTGGGACTACAGGTATGCACCGCCATGACCCGCTATTTTTTGTATTTTTAATAGAAATGGAGTTTCACCATTTTGGCCAATCTGGTCTCAAACTACTGGCCTCAAGTGATCCACCCATCTCAGCCTTCTATAGTGCTGAGATTACAAGCATGACCCATGACATCCAGTACTTTTAATAGACCTATACTTTAATTTCACCTGTATTTAAATTTTTATAATTAGTTATTGCTTTTTGGTGATTTGTTTTTTGTCAGATTCATTCTACTGTATTATTTTTTATTTTCATCATTTTATATATTTTATTAATAAGGTCACCATAAATTATTTATCCATTCCTTTGTTCTTGCATATTTGGATCATTTCCAATTTTAAGCAATTATGAGTAATACAGCCATGAATATTTATTGTCTTTTCATGTACATATATAAACATTTCAGTTGGCTAAATAAGAGCGGAAATGATGGGCTATATTAATTTATATATGTAAATTTATAGAATTTATACATTTCTTATTTTAATATATTTTGTATTTACATATAATACATTTCCGTTTACAATTTATTTATATTTTGTTTTCTATTTATATTTTATGTATTTTATAATTGTTTATATTTTATATTAATGTAATTCATGTATATTGTCTATGTATATAAATGTATACTATATTTAAATACTATATATTGAAATTATAAATATTTATAGGATGTGTGTATTTGGTAGATACTACCTATATCAAAATACCTATAAGTTATATATTTCCTCAACTTTCATGGATGATGGCAAACATTTTCAAAGAGAATCTATTTTCACAACAAGAGTATATGAGAGTTTTGTTGTTTCTCATCATCACCAGCTTCTAGTATTGGCTTTCCAATTATACAAGTATTTTATAATTATTCTGTTACTATTGATTCCCAGTTTTGTTGGATGTGTCTAAAAAAAATTATCTATGATGTCAATAATTTGAATTTAAAAGAGCATTGTCAAATGGTCCAGTATATTGTCAACTGTACAAATATTCCATATATTCATTAAAAGTATCTATTGGGTAAATTTTTTATATATAATCACGTGATTAATTATATTGACTATATATAAATTGTATTTATTTAATATTTTTATATTAATCATATTTTACATAACAAGATGTATAAAATCTTCCTTGATGGCTTATTTATTTGTCTATTTCCCTTTTTAGTTTAGTAAATTTCCACTTCATATATTTTGATGCCACAAAGATGCGTACAAGTTTAAGATGTTTATATCTTACGGTGAATGTAATTTTAAATTTTCTGAATCTTTCTTACATCTCTCAAAGCCTTATTACTTTTTTGAATTTTTAAGATTTAGCTTAGTGGCTGAGAGCCAGCCACTCACACTCAAATATCAACTTAATCTAATTCCGGAACTGAAATAAAATGAAGTTGGGTCATTCTTTCTGCAAATATTACACTACTGCCTCCTAGGATGGATCACTTCAATGTAGAGGGGTTTAAAAGTACAAATGCCTTGTGTCTTGCTGTCCAACATTTGATTTTTAGAACTGAAAAGGATTGCTTAGTTCTTCAGTATCTTAACCACATTTTTATTTTAAGTGAGGGCAACAAGGATGAGAGAGGGAGCCAAATGTCCCTAAATGGAAAGGGGAAACTTATTTGATCCATATTATATTAACTTGCTTTAATAGGCAACTATTTTTACCTGTCCATATTTCCCTCCTTTTCTGATTTTGAATTGGGGCTTGGCAATTATTTACCGCCATCTTAGATTACTATATTCTTTCTAGTCGGCCTACATGCGGACATTACTGGTGTATCGTTATCAGAAGTAGGATTTTTATAAATTTTTCAGCACATTTGCAACTTTGTTCATTATATATTCCTGAATTTCAGACTTTGGACTAGAAAACACTTTCCATTACTCTGAAGTATGCCTTTTAGCGTTTTCTTTAATAAGAATCTGTTGGTAGAAAAATTTGTTTTTATTAGTATAAAAATGTTTTTTACTCTAATTTTAGAAAATAGTGTGTTGATTATTTTTATGTATTATTTATTTTATCTTATTTTGTTGAAGACAATACCCTCTCATATAGCTTCCACTTTTGTACTGAAAATTAATATTATTTATTTGACTGTACTATTTCTTTTCTTTCTGTGTACTTTAAGGTCTTCCCAATTCATTAAGTTGTGGATTTGTTGTTTTTACTCTACTTGGGATTCACTGGGATTCCTGATTAAGAGGAGCTTTCATTAGTACTAGAAAATTCTCACTTATAGGCTCTGCAAATACTACCTGTACTGCCATCCTTTATTTCCTCTTTCTGCAATTCTGTTTGAACCTATGTGAGACCTCACTTTATCCACAATTTTAATAAATTTATTTTTATAGTTTTTATGGTTGTGTGTTTATATTGTATTAAACATAGATTTTTTAAAGTTATGTCTTCCAATTAACTAACTGTTCACTCAGCTTTTAAAATCACCCTTTAAGTCCATCCATTGAGGGTTTTATTTTTTGGTAATATTATTAATTTCATTTTATTTTTATTTCTAAAAGGCTTATTGGTGTTCTCCACATCTCTTTTGTAACATGAGTAAGCATGCCCTTTACTCATGTTTAAAATAATGTTTTATGTCCTTAAGCAAAATAATGCTTTATGACCCACAGAGTATGAATTCAGTCCAACAATGCATGAAATGACGAGATTATAGTTACACACTCTCATGAATGACTTCTCTCCATTCAGTGCCAAAGTTGTACAGGCAATTTTCTTTTGGTTAACAGGTTTGTTCCTAGTTCATCCTTTCCTTCACTGTATACCTCCATGTGTTCCTGATTTACAGGCAAGGTAGTTAGTTTCCTTTTAGATTATCTGCTTCAAATATTTTTTCAACATTTTAATTTACATTTCTCATATTCTTACTTATCTTTTCATACCTATTTCAAATGTAATAAAATCTACAAAGCATGGCTTGATATATTAACAGTATTGATTACCTCCACTTTTGTACCCACACTAAGCACAATGCATTCTAAAACAATGAACCTACGGTATTTTTAAAACTTATTTTTCTATATATCTCATTTCCCCAACAGTTCATAAACTTCTTTAATTAAGACTGTGACTTACTTACTGGTTTATATTCATGACAGCTACCACTGATTTTAGCTCATAAAATACACTCTTTAAATGGTTAGATAGCTATAGTTTTCAAGATTAGGTGCAGAAATCACTTCCATTTAAGATTTAGGGATTCTTTCCATTAGGGTTCTTATAAAAACCACTGGTTCTTCTTTAGTGTACACGAATAACATTTTCTTAATTTTAAAATGGCTTCTATTGTTTGAACAGAGACTTGGTGTACATTCTGTAGAAGGAAAATAACTGTCAATTGACAATTTCTTGAGTGCTTATTATATATCATACTGTATATTGGATGCAGACATTACAGAAATAACTTCCATGAATCAAGTCTCAAGGATGGAATTGAAACAAAGATTATTATTCTCTCTTTTCTTTCCTCTATCAGTTTTTTCTCCTGACTCTTAGATAAAATCTAGGGCAAGTTTTGTGTTTTATGCAGTCATGCTTAGATGATAAAAATTCCTCTTATCACTTCTGATTGTAAATATAATCCCATTTCAGGAATAGTCAAATCTACAAATTTTATTTGAATGTAATGCTTTCCTCCTTTCATCTTTTGTCAGCAGTGGGAAATGAGGGTCATGATTGATTTCTTCCTCATTTTTTTCAGCCAGCTTTTTAAAAAATTATACTTTAAGTTATGAGATACATGTGCAGAACGTGCAGGTTTGGACATAGGTATACACTTGCCATAGTGGTTTGCTGCACCCATCAACCCATCATCTACATTGGGTATTTCTCCTAATGCTATCTCTCCCCTAACCCCCTACCTCCCAACAGGTCCCAGTATGTGATGTTCCCCTCCCTGTGTCTATGTGTTCTCACTGTTCAACTCCCACTTAGGAGTGATAACATGCAGAGTTTGATTTTCTGTTACTGTGTTAGTTTGCTGAGAATGATGGTTTCCAGCTTCATCCATGTCCCTGCAAAGGACATGAACTCATCCTTTTTATGGCTGCATAATATTCCATGGTGTATATGTGCCACATTTTCTTTATCCAGTCTATCATTTATGGGCATTTGGGTTGACTCCAAGTCTTTGCCATTGTGAATAGCACTGCAATAAATATATGTGTGCGTGTTTCTTTATAGTAGAATGATTTATAATCCCTTGGGTATATACCCAGTAATGGGATTGATGGGTCAAATGGTATTTCTTGCTCTAGATCCTCGAGGAATTGCCACACTGTCTTCCACAATTGTTGAACTCAGTAACATCTGCCCAGAAAAGAGAGAGTTGGTTATCCAGGAAAAATCGTATTAGATTAGTAATGTTTTGAACTTTGATTTCCTTTTGCTGGGACAGATACTGAAGAACACCTTTTCTCTTTCAGAGCATTTCGTGGGCTTATTGGAGATATCCTCAAATTGCTCATCATCACTTACCTACTGCACTCTACAGTAAGTAAATAACTCTACTGTACTGCTGGCCTCTTGTTTTTTCCCATGGCTCTCTTATCTGGGCAGTCCACTTATACTCAATGGTCTCTGTGGGAACGCAGAGTCTAGGAAGTCTTCCAAGTCAAAAGACAGTTATGGGAAAGTTCCTTTTTTTTCCTCACATGGCCACATCTGATTTTTGGGAAACACACATTTGAACCATCATCTGCAGAAATTTTGTTTATTTTAACACAATCCTTTATATGTTGCCACATGAAATATCAGTCAAATTCTCACCCTTTGTATTTCCTATGCATGTAACAGTTTATAGTTTTCCTTATAATGGAAGAAGACTTATATTAAATTCTTCAAATGGCCTCCTTGTAGTCTCTAATGCCAGGCTTAAAGTGAAAAGAAAAAAGTAACCTTTTTTGCTTTCCCTATTGAAATATGGATTGCTATTTGAGGCAATATTCTATGCAAAAATAAGAAATCCAAATTTCTACATCTTTGTTGAAACATCAGATTTACTTACATAGCCAGAATATGGGTGACGGTCAGAAAACTCATTTTTATCCACTTCCTATGTGAATGAAATATTGGTTGCTTAAAATAGTCTTTAAAATATAAAAATATCCACCATCTCTTAGGATCTCAGCTAAAACGGAGAAAGAATCCCATTTTAGCATCATTTTGTGCAAAGATGAATAGGAAGTTGCTGTATAGGAGTTCACATTGTAAGAGAAAATAATAGGTGTACAATATTTACTGCCAGCCTGATACTTGCTTTAAAGACACATAAACTGTATAAGTTGGGATTCCCAGAGAGTGGGAAAATAATTGTGTCAAAAACTGTGTCTGGTTACGTAAGGTAAATTTTAAAAGGCGGGTAATATTTGAGGGGTACTTGAAAGATGGCACTTAAAAGTTTGGCCGTAATAGAATAGCTAAAGAATATCCAGTCATAAGGAGCTGTATGTTCAAAAGCAAATAGTAATGAGAGAATAATTTTTTGGGGACGAAGAAAAAAGGAACAAGCTTTGGTAGTGGCAGAAAATGGGGAATAACAATTATTTTGGTTAAGTATTTGGGGCAAGGTGTGAAAGGCTTTATCCCATATTTTTAGAAAATGGAAAATTATTAAGGATTTTTAACTCTGGAGATTAATATGATGAGATTTGGTTGAAAGTAAAATAAAGTGCTCCACAATATGTTTTGCATGATGAAATGCTTCAAGGCAGAGAAGTAGAAGATCCTGTAGAAACTTCTCAAAAATCAGGTTCAGTAGTTAAATATGTGTGAGATATCTATATTCAACTTACCACACTCATTAGCCTAGTGAATATTCTGACAATTTTTGAGATAAAAGAATCTATTAATACTGAATTAATTCAACATCAATCAAATGTGTTAGCAGATATAATTTTAAGAACTATTAATATCTTACAGAGATATAAAATAGTAAGAAAATAGCTTCCAGATAGCCTGGTGTTGATGACATTTATGAGAGTCATCGACATTTATGAGAGTCATCAACGTTTATGACAGAGGCTATTTAGAAAGTGATTGCAACTGTTTCCATGAAAGATTTTGAGAGTCTTTACTACAACAGTGACAGCTGGGATAATGCAGAATACCAATGTAGAAGATTTACTTTATGAGAGACATTGAGAGATTGTGCAAAAAGGAGTAAAGTTTCACTCTGAGAGCTCCACCTTTCAATTGCTTGTGGATGTAAAACTATTCACAGAAAATAAGCAGGCACGCAAAAGTTATGTTTAACTTTCATTAAACCATCTATTTGGTCATCTTCTCAGAAGTATTATGCATTGCATCAGATAGTGTTTTATTGCCTTCCTGAATGTGGATGCCACTTGCTAATTCATTTGCTAAATGTTTGATAATTCAACACCCAAAGGATTTATCACTCTACCCCAGACTCACAGCAGACTCCTTTCTCAATGATGGGAAAATACATCTGAATAATAACAATCAAAACTTATTTAGCAAAGAAGGAAGTGTCCAGTTTTATGAAGTAAGTATCCTGCTTAAATAAACAGTGATACACTATGAAATGCCTTAACTATATCTTGTATTTTCTTTCTGATAATGTCTGCAACTTGGAAGGATTTATGCTTAAAAAAAACAGCTATGTTTATAGTTTGAGAAAACTTTCTATTTCTTGTTGAAAAACTATATTATGATTTTCATTCCCAGCCATAGTGCTGACTATACACCCTGGGGGAGGGGGGAAAACCATTGACACGGAATACATAGAAATGCTGTTTCTAAATGCGTAGCTGACATTGCAAGATATTGAGGGAAATCCCCAGAAATATAAAATGGAAAAGAAGCTGAAAAACACAGCTAAAGTGAGGCCTAAGACCATGGGTATCTTGAGGGCATTTACTAAGTTTAGTAGCTGAAATATTGGGTTTTAATTTTGGTATAAGTGAAAGGAAGCAAGGCTTTGGTTGTGTCTAAGGTGGTTACTTAGAAATAAGAGTTTTACCTAAAAGAAGAAAATTGGAAAGGCTCAACTTTAGGAAAGTGTAATTTTAAAATGTCTTCCCACAGGCAACATCAGGCAATAATATATATCTGTATCAGCTCACATCCAAGGCAGAATTTTAAAAACAGAAAAAGAAAAATTTCGTTAGCCATTTATAATGATATGCCTGGCCTCATAAAGATACTGGTTTGGGTTTACAATTTTTGAGTAGTTATTAAGTCAATGATCAATTTAAATTAGGATTAGGTTAATATTTTATAGCATTCTGAAGTACGTGGCAGAGAGAAATTCTCTCTGGAAAGAGACCTATCTATCTATAGGTCTCTGTAGATAGATAGACCTATCTATCACCTCACCAAGTATCAAAAGATTAGAGACAAAAATAGATACAATTGAAAGAAAAATAGATGATTACATAACCATAGTGGAAAATTATGAAACATCAAATCTCATTAATTATCAGAACAAATGCATCCAAATTAATATGCATATTGGACGTTTTATAAATCAGCAAAATTTATCCAAATATTTATGTGTATATAAAACAATGCACCTTTAAATTAGAAAGTGAATATTGTTATATGGTTCTTTGTCTAAATAAACACAATAATAACAATTTAAAAATACTGTAAAAAGCAAGATAATAAGAATATGACATCAAAATCCATGAAAAACAGCTGAAAAAGCATTTAGCAAGATGGTGTCTTACATTCTAATCACTAAAATATGAAATAAAAAACAAAAAAGAGGCTCCAAACTGCCAAAGTCTGTTCTGTTGAATGTATCAATAAGATAGAAAAAAAAGACATAGTTGATGAGACAGAGAGAAAGGGAGTAATTAATGAACTATATTAGAAAAAAAATGAGCAAAGAATAACCACAGATTAAATTATTAACAATATACTAAAATAGTTTAGGCAAATCATTGTAAAATCCTAGAGAAATTCACAATTTCTAGAATAAATAGGGCATCAAATAAGCAATAAGTCAATTGAAAAGTTGAGAAGACCCAACCATTAAGTACATTTTATCAGTATTTTAAAATATATACCTCTATATGTCACTCATCAAAAATATTTCAGATATAGTTAATTTAAAAATAAGATTACAAAGTGGCAATTAATCATCTAATATATATGATTTACAGAGTAATAACTAATAATTTTATATACATAAATATATATATATATATAGAGAGAGAGAGAGTCTGAAATCTTTTTATATTCTGTGAGGTCACAGATCTCTTTGCAGAGATGACTGTTCCTCTGCCAGGAACTTCAGAATGTTCTAAACTATTCACCTAATTTAAATTGGTCTTTGACCTAATAACTAATCAAAAAGCATATACATGTACACCCTTACAGATATTACAAAAATCAATTAACCTTTTGAGGCTAGTATTAACTTCATGTAGTACAAGATATTAAAAGAATAAAAAATCTCCAACATGCTCTATATAAATGTTTATAGATGTAATTCCTAAATAAGATGTTCACAAATAAAATAGACATCTAGAAACTGTATAAAAATATGCCATAGAACATTTCTATTTAAACAAAATAATGCAACGATAGCTTAACATTAGAAAATATAGTTTAACACATTAAATCAAAAGAAAATGCATATAAGTATTTTAGCTATTATAGTTAAAAAAATAAAATACAGCATCCATTCATGATAAAATGTCTTAAAAACCATGAGTAGAAAATATAACTTATTTTCCCTGAAAATAAAAGTATCATAAATTTATAATTAGTATCATATTTAATAATATGTTGGAGACATCCTTTTAAAGTCAGGAAAAAGCATACTTGCTTACGCCATGTGTATTTAACATTATACAAAAAGATATTATACCTAGCATGTTAAGACAAAATGGAGTAAGCAATGATAAGAATGTTAAAAAAATGTAAAACTGACTCCAAATATTATAAATCATATACTATTGAAAATAATATAATTGCCTACTCAAATAAACTCAAAATCTCAAATAAACTGAAGAAAATTATTGAAATTATTTTAAAAACTAAAGAATTGAAGACAATTTGCTATATAAAAAGTTAACATACAACAACCAGTTACATATTTATATACCAAGAAGAAGTAGCTAGAAAACATAATTTAAAGAATGTAATACCAATAAAATTATGCACATGGTTTTTAATGGGCCACATTTCTTTTATAAGAAAAATGACTGCCATTGTAGGAATTCTTTGTTGTTGGCATTTCATCTTGGCTACCCATAATTTTTCCTTGGGCTCCCAATTCCCAGTCACTCACATTCTTTGTATTATAGAAACAATCTGAATAGAGTCATGGACTTTAATTAGTTCATTAGACTTTAAGTTTAATTAGATTTTAATCGGTTTAATTAGACTTTAATTTGTTAACAGTATGTAGCATTTCCATCCAACAGGATGAAAAGTTGAACAATCTCCTCAAAAAGCAACTATAAAGGTGAATGAAAGTGTCAAAACAATTATTTTAGCATTCTGGAAATTAACCAAAGATATGCATGCAAATGAAGAGAGAAGTGTTATTCATGAGAATCACTGAAGCATGGGCAGATATAGGGCAATTTTATAGTTTTCTTGATGAAGACCATTCCTATGCCTCACCTGTAGCTCTACTGCTAGACAGTTCAACCTGGATGAGACAGGCTATGAAACCAATAGTCTTAGCGCTGGTACCAGGGAAACTCACTTGATTTAGAATCTTGTCAGTTCCAGAAGTGCTCTCATGAACAAGTAAATAAGGAGGACCAGCAGTTCTGCTAGCCTGAACTAGATTCTGTTTGGTGCAGGTAGCAGACTGTCAGACTAGCAGAGGATTTTGTAGGAAAGACCAAGAAGTTAGGGATACGAGGAAAGCTTGTTAAGTTCTTCATGTATCTCAGGTTGACAGGAGTTGTTGCCATGCAAACAACGTTGTGTAGTTAGCCCATGCCACCCCACATTCCTGGTTGATGAAGCCAATAACAAACACATACACACACACACACACACACACACACACACACGGTGAGAGAGAGATAGAGAGATTGAAACTGATTGGCAGAATCTACAATTAAGGGGAAAAGTTGAGCTGAAAATGGCCTGGAATCTGAATGTTCTTTACTACAAGCACATAGATCCATCTTTAGAGAGTGGAATCCTTACTGGCTTGAGTTGTTTGAGTGCATACTCTGGCCAACTTTTGGCTGAACACAGAATATGCAGACACAGGGGCAACCTCTAGGAATCCAGGCATACAAATAAGCAGAAGAAAATAAACTGAGCAAGATACACACACAGAGATATATCATAGTCAAGCTAGTGAAATCCAAAGAAAAAAAGCAATTCTTGAAAGCAGTAAGAAAAAAAATAGCTCATCATATACAGGAAAGGAAAGACATCATTAGTGCTTGACTTCTTATTAGCAAAAATGGAGGGCCAAAAGTAACGGAAAGACATTTTAAAGAGTGGAATAAAAGTACCTGTCAACTAGGAATTATATATTGAGAAAATTCATCATTAAAATGTGAGGGTAAAATAATATTTTATTCAGATGAAAAACTGTGATAACATTTTACCAGCAATTGTGTGTTAAAATAAATAGTAAAGGATATCTGTCAGGCTAAAAGAAAGTGACAGTAGGAAATGATTTTAATTCATATGTTGAAATGAGGAACATCAGATACAGTAAATGTAGCATAAGTACAATTTGGGAGGCCAAGGCGGGTGGATCACCTGAGGTCGGGAGTTCGAGACCAGCCTGGTCAACGTGTTGAAACCCCATCTCTACTAAAAATACAAAAATTAGCCAGGCGTGGTGGCAGGCACCTGTATTCCCAGCTACTCAGGAGGCTGAGGCAGGAGAATTGGTTGAACCTGGGAGGCAGAAGTTGCAGTGAGCCAAGGCTGTGTCACTGCACTCCAGCCTGGGTGACAGAGCGAGACTGTCTCAAAAAAAAAAAAAAAAGAAAAAATATATAACATTTATATATATTATATTTTTGGTTTCTTTAACTTCTTATAACAATCTACAGGGCAATAAACATAATACTCTTTTATGAAATTATATAGATGTAGTGTGAATGACAATAAAGAAAAAAAAAGAGGAGGAAAAAGAGAAAATATATTGGAGCAACATTTCTATATTTTTACCAGAATGAGGTCAGTATTATTCTGAAGTAGAGTATAATAAGTTAAGATCTTTTTTAAACCCTTTAGCAAAAACTAAGTAAATAGCTAGAAAAGGGATTAAAATGACAGAAGAAATTAAATGGTAGAGAAAAAGTATATTTGACACAAAATAAGACATTAGAAGAGAAAGAGAAGAACAAAAATATCATAAATAAAATAGAAAGCAAAGAGCAAAATGATGGCCTAAAATTTTACCAAATCAATAATGATATATTTTGAGTGAATTAACTTAGCATTTAAATGTAAAAGCTAAAACTACTAGAAGAAGACAAAGATAAAACTTTCATGACATTGAGGTGGGTAAAAATTCCTTAGATAGGCCAGGTGCCGTGGCTCGTGCCTGTAATCCCAGCACTCTGGGAGGCTGAGGGGGTGGATAACTTGAGGCCAGGAGTTCGAGACCAGCCTGGCCAACATGGCAAAACCCCATATCTTCTTAAAAAAGAAAAAAACACAGAAATTAGCCAGGCATAGTGGCACATGTCTGTAATCCCAGCTACTCAGGTGGCTAAGGGACATGAATTGTTTGAAACCAGAAGGTGAAAGTTTGCAGTGAGCTGAGATGTCACCACTGTGCTCCAGCCTGGGCTACAGAGTGAGACTCTGTCTTCAAAAAAAAAAAAAAGGAAAAAAAAATTGAAAGAAAAAAATTCTTAGATATACCACCAAAAGCATAAACCTTAAAAGAAAAAGAAAGAGAAAAAAAGACACCGTTGTACTTCAAAAGACACCTTTAAGTAAATTAAAACACAAAATACAAACTGGGAGAATGTATTGTATTTGTAAGTGATTTGTGGTGAACTGACCCTATGTGACACCCAATATCTTCCTCCGGGTGCCCATGTCTTTCTTCAATCCCTTCCCATTCAATGTAGGTAGGGCTTTGACTTGCTTGTAACCCAGAATATGGCAAAACGATGAACTATCACTCCAATCATTAGTTATGTTATGTAAGACTTTGTCTTAGCAGAATGCAGTAAGAGATTCTCCTTGCTAGCTTGATAAACTAAGCAGCCATGATGAGGAAGCCCAAGTGTCAAGCAACTATGGACAGCCTCTAGGAATCATGGGTAGCCTTTAGGAACAGTGGATACCATTTAGGACCTTAGGAAAGCCTCCAGACAATGGCCAGCAAAAAGCTGGAACCCTCAGTCATATATCAAAAAAAAAAAAGAAGAAGAAGAAGAAGAATTCCAACAACCTGAATAAGCTTGGAAGTAGATCTTTCCCTGATTGAGCCTACAGAGGAAAGTGCTGCCCTGTCCAAATGTTGATGACAGCCTAGTGAGATTGAGTGGAGGACCCTGTTAAGTCATGCCCAAACTTCTGGCTCATAGAAATTGTGAGATAATAGATGCATGTGTTGTTTAAAGCCACTAAATTTGTGGTAATTGGTTATGCAGTAATATAAATCAAATACACTTTATGTCTTACAAAATATATAAAAATAGATGCAAATGATATAAATAAACTTTAAATTCAATATTAAGAGTCAAATGTTTCAATTAAAATGATAAAATGATTTAATAAGCATGTATTAAAAAATATAAATGGTTAATAAACACAGAAAGGGTGCTCAGCATCGTTACTCTTTTGAGAAACCCAAATTAAAAGCATAACGAGATAACACTATCCACCCACTAGGAGGGCTATAATCAGAAGGATAGATAATGCCAAGTGCTGGCCAGAATGTGGAGAAACGAAAACTTGCACATAATGCTGGTGGGAATGTAAGTTGATATAACCACGTTGGAAAAAGATTTTCCTCATTTTTTTAATAGTCAAGCAAAAACTCATCATATGAGCCAGCAATTTCATTCTTATACATATTACCTAAGGAAAAAAGAATATGTATGTCCACATAAAGATTGTATATGAATGTTCATAACCACATTGTTTGTAATAGCTGGAACTAATTCAACATCAGCTGGAAAGTAGATAAGCACAATGTGGTATATCTATACGATAGAATACTATTCAGCAATACAAAGAAGAAAATACTGATTCATGTTACATCTTGGACATACATCAAAAACATCATGCTGTGTGAAAGAAACGAGGGGAAAAGTCTCCATATTATAAACTTGTATTTACATAAAATTAGAAAGCAAATTTACATAGGCAGAAAGAAATCAGTGATTTCCTGGGTCTGGCTGGAGTTAGAGGCAGAAATAGACTGCAGACTGAGTGACTGGCAGAACATTTTAGGGATGATGGAAATGTTCTAAATGTTTTAATGTTCTGGATAACGCTGATGGTTGCACAACTTTAAAAACTGACTGAAAATCATTAAATTGTATACTCACCTGGGTGGAATTTTTATACATAAATTATATCTCAATACAGCTGATAAAATAAAACAGAAGGGGAATATGGGGTAAACACATATTGTTGTTCTGCCTGTTAACAATGGTCCTTTCCGATAGCTAGCTTCTCCTTCCTCTACTGATTAATTTGGAGCTAGAAACACACAACTCAAGCTAGTTCAAATAAAATATAGTTCTCTGGAATCTGAAACTTGAAATAAAAGACACAAAAATTGAGCTATATTTGAACTCAAACATAGTTCTCCTATTCCATCTCTTTCTGCTACAGAGATCCTGAGAGGCATTTGGTTTCTGCCTTCTCTAGTGATTCATGTTGTCATGTCTGTGAGTGGATTTTCTTCCAACAAATTCATTTTTCCCTATGTTGGAGTAGTTTTCTATTATTTACAATCAAATCAAACACAACTAATGTAGAATTAAATTTAAAATCTACAGATGGTATACTTTAACAAGAGGACATATAAATTGCAAGTCACTTATTTTGTCTTTATAATAGTGTCTGTACCTTTAGTAACTCATCTTCAAATCTGTAAACAAGAAGGAAATTGACAAACAGGGGGATTTGCAAAGTCTTAAAGTTATAAAAAAATGGGTATTCTTTGAGAGATTAGTAATAGACCCATTAGAGGATTAAGGAAGTAATAATTATTGTCCAAATATCTACTAAAATGATTGATAGAGAATTTTTATATGATATCTTATTTAATCATACACAAGATAAGTTATGTTTTTATATTTTATAATTTGAGGAAACTGACAAAATAAGAATATGTACTTATATAGTAATAGAAAATATTTATGGATCAACTGCTAGGTATCAAGATTTGTTCTAAGAGCTGTATGTAATTTATTCTTCACAAGAACCCTATGAAATAAGAACAGTTATCATTACCACCCACTTTGAGAAGAAAAGAAGAGGCTCACAGATGTGAATCAGTTTGTCAATGAAATCTAGTAAGTGGCAAAACTGTATTGGAATGAAATCAGTCTGGTTGGAGTCCTTAATTGTGTAACCCCTGAACTATAAATCCTCTTCCATTGCTTCATGTATGATATCTGTAAAGTGGCAGAGCTACAGTTGGAATATATTTATTTACTTCTAAAGTCTGTGGTATTTACTTATCAACATACTCTTCAACATCTAAAGTAACATGTCTGGTGGCGGGCAGGAAGTAGAAAGAAGAGGTGCAGTGGGGAAGCTACATATAGGAATCATTTTTTTCTTGTGCATTTTAGGGAGGACTGAGGTAACTGAATGAAATTGGAGGGTGGTACAGAGTGTGACTTCATGATACTAGAGATGCAATTTGAAAACTGTTAGATTGCAGAGAGAAAAGGATTTTCTCCCACACCATGTTCTAAGTTTCTCTAAAACAACCCTTTTATTTTAGCTCTCCAGGGTCATGATGGTAATACACAAGAGTAAGGCTAGTGTTTAGATGCTTTGGCTCTGCATCACCCTGGATGACTCCAAATTATATCCCTTCTCTGCTCCAAATTTTCTCTGCAATTTAAGCTTCTTCTCTCTGCCAGGGTTGTCTCACAATTTAAGGTGTGGTCCTCAATATTTCTCTGTTCCATTTCACTAGTCTTTAGAACATTATAACATAGTGATGCATAATTTATTTTCATGCAAGTATTATCTCTAATGACCCCACATAAAGTAATTTTGTAATGTAAGAATGGCCTTTTTTCCATTACACAAAAGCAATTTTCTCTGACATATTAACCTTCACTGAACATTTTTCTAATTTTATCCAGGCAGGATCACACAAGTGAAATGTGAAGGATAAATGATGTCCTTATTTTTTTAGGGAGTTTTTTTGTCATTGAAACTTATAATAAATAAATAAATAAAGTGATTTATTTAAAGGATTAAATAAAATACCTTGTAGAATAGAAATAAATTGCAAAATATTTTGCAATGTTTTTAGAAAGTGTTAACATCATTGAAAAGAATTGAGCTAACTTAACAACTTTTTAAAAATTTGTTAAAGTTAAAACTTTTTTCTACAAATTTTTATTTCAAAAGAAACAAAGTCTCATATCCTTGGCCTTCCCCTTTCCTCACTAGGTGATTCCTGAGGTATCTCAGTGTAACTCAAGGACTCGTGGAACACAGTTTTAAAACCAGAGAAATAATTTACTAAAAACCTTAGAAAAATTACCTCCAGTGTTAAACGTAAGAGTTACCAGGAAACAAGGCAACACTGGGAGAATTTGGGCATAAAAATAGATTTTTATGAGATTGAGAAAACAGGGAGAAGCATATGCTCTGCTATGATGCTCACTGGCCTGTAGCCAGTCAGTGATGAACTCAGATCTACAATAATAGAATAAATTAAAACAATAACAACAACAACAAAAACATTCTCCTCCTAAACTCCTTCCCTATCCCTCCCTCACTTTATCCACCTCGAAATTTTTCTCACTATCCTTTTTTAATTAAGTTCTAGCCCTATGGACAGCCAGGTTGTGCAACTATCATAGCCACAAGGAATCTTTATTGAGAGAAAGTTGACCTAGTTTCGATGAGCATGGCATTATAATCAAAATCAGCAAAGGTTCTCTGTTTTTGTAAAGAGTCAGATACCTCTTTATTCTCTCTCTTTCTCTAACTCTCTCTCTTTCTAAGCCCACTGTTATATATATGCATCATATTTAGAAGATATATTTTCTGTCTAGGTGCATCAGCCTCTGTGGGTGTAGATAATTATTTAATTACCTTTATTGAAAAAGTCATCTCAAGTATAAAATTGATCTCCATTGTGCTATTCCATGATACCTCTAATATAACACAAATTAATTGCCCTCTGGCAGAAGCATATTAGAGTATTAATATTTAAAATAATGGTCCTAATCTCATAGATGTAGACTGCTCATTCTGTAAAGAAGTTTCATTCATTATTTTCTTAGTTTCTTAGCAAGGCCCTTTCTTCAATCTCAATTCTGTACAAATATGTGCCAGAAACAGGAAATACTTAGTATCAATGTAAAGCAAAATATTAGCTATAATAATTTTTACTTTTTGTGAAATAAGGTTAAAGGCAGAGTTAAGAAGACCACTTCAAAGAAACAATGTCAATCATAGAATCTTAGATTGTTGTAATTTAAATCAACAAAAGTTCTATGTCAATAAGTAAAACGTTTGTTCCATTATGTTTCTTTCACAACTTTTCTATCTTGTGATGTTTCCTCTTATCTCTTACATAAAATAAATAATATATTTTTATGTAAAATATATTTATTTTATAAAGTAATTCACAAGGAAATAAATGTACTATAGTAGTCCAAGATGATGTACATAAGGAATTAGGGTTTTCTTTCATTTTTTACTAAAAAAAAAAAGTGCAGTGTAATCACAGAAGGAAAAACATCCTTATCTTCCAAAAGTAGGAAAGACATAATGTGTTTTTGTAACCTGGTAACTCTGTATCTATTACTTTCAGAATTAAAGGGTTTCCTGAATTGGTTTATAAATTAAGTTGATGTTATCCTTTAATGCTTCAGTGTTTCCTAGCTTATCTTATGTTGCTCACAAATGTTCTTTTATCTTTCCTTTGGAAGATCTTGCATAGGAATAAAAAGTATGCACATGCAGTACAATGTACATGAGCAAACACACTTATATTTTCCTTCTACCTGCAGTTCATTTTTCTTGGAATAATCTAGAAACCAAGAATTATTACTTTTAAAGGTGTTGATTTCAAAGAAATAAAGGTCTTCATGGAATAAAAGAAGAAAAAAAGCAATATGGAGTTTATAATGTCATTGGAATCTAAAAATATATAACATATATGAATAATTGTAAAATAGTGTCCAATTTACCTGATGCTCATGGCAGGAAGTTATTGTAGGCTCGATTGGCAAATGATGTAGAGAATGATTCTGTTTAATGATAGATTCTAAGGACAACCACTCCACTGATATTTAAATTCCCTAGAACACTAGTAGTGAATTTCTAGTCTCTGAACATGTTCAGTCATCAGGAAATTAATCTAATGAAGTTACCTATGTCTTTTTCAGAATGTTTGGTAGATTATAAAATTCTTCTCTGTATTAAGTTAGAATTTACTTCCATTAGCTTTGAATCCCTAAATCTGACTTATAAAGAACAATGGAATCAGTAACTTCCTGTAAGCTGAAAGTATCTATTCCATTTTCAAAAAAGTTCTGTTAATTATAAAGTTCTTTTCTATTTTGAGTTGGAATTCACTTCCACTCTAGAACAAATATACTTCCTCTCTACCTAATGACAGTTTACAGTTTTGAGGCTCCAGTTCTATCCCATCATATCATTGTTTTTCAAATTTTTAGAGTGGCTTCTGGGAAGTGTTCAAGAAACTTGAGAAGAAGGAGAGAAAAGGGAGAGAGTGAGACAGTGGAAGGGAAGGAGAAAGGGAGAGAGAAGGCAGAAAAAAAAGCCAATAGAGATGGGAATGAATGGAGGGAGTGATATTTTCCACATCCCTAAACTCTGCTTCATCCAAAGCAGCTCTGCAGTTAGTTCTTTTCTAAATTAGGCTCCCATGTGAGACTCAATTTTATTTAAAAAAAAATTAAAAATCGGTAATTCTATGAAAACCTTAACCATTTCCAAGCTAAACATAAATTTAATTCTGTGATTTATTGTTAGTGATTTTTCTCACAATATGAGAATGCAGCTACTTTAAAACATTGAAATTGATGTGAATATTAGACCTCCTGTACCTCCAGTTTAGAATAGAATCTCAATATCAGCTATTTTTGGGGGACTTTAGATTTCCCTCTATTTCCTTCCAAATGGTGTTAGAGTTTCACAGAATTCTCCCGTTGGTTTTTCAAGAAATAGCTCTCTTCCATATTTAAAGTACTAATAATTGTTTTCTGCATCAATTCTGCCTACCCTATGGACAATATACCTTTTGCTCCTTTCAAAACATGGAGACTCTTTCACTATTGACCACTGAGGACAATCTGCATCATTCTGCATAACTGTCAAAGTAACTGTTTTGTTGATGCTGGTGAGTCTACTGATGTCTATGACAAAGTTGTCAGTGTTAAAGCCCAAGATATTGTTGCCTGAGCTAAGGGCAATGACGCCCATGAACAGCACATTTAGCACCTCACTTTCCATGTCATCAGTAGTGGCATTACCACCTCACTCATTATTGTCTTTGCCCAGGCATCACCACTAATGTGGCTATTTCATAGCTAATATGCTCACTACAATGCTGCTGCTCCTACTGTCAGCATTATGACACCGTGATGTCATCAATACTTTTCAAAAAACATTTTTAGAGTTTATGAAAATCTAAAGCTCTATCAAATTTCGTTATTTTGAACAAATCATCTCTTGCTTTTTGACCACTAAGGACATTTTAAACATTTTTCTATAACTTCAGTACACTTTTCAGTTTGCACACATCCCATGAGATTTGATTAGGAGGAGAGGGACATAAAAGAGATACTACACAGAAACCATTATCATGAGTGTAGTGGAGATTGAGAGACCACAAGAATTCAGATTTAGCAATGGCAAAAGTCTCGGTAGCAGTGGTATACTAGTAGCTATTATTCTTATGCTCATCCCCAGCTGAAGTAGATTGCTCCTTAGGGTGGCTGACAAGTGGTGTAATCTGGTCATTTTTCTTGATTATGTAGATACTTTGCCTGATTCTCTGGCACTGCAGAAAATCTGATGGGTCCCTTTTGTACTTTATGCATTT
The DNA here is from genome assembly GCF_000001405.40 of Homo sapiens. Lineage (NCBI taxonomy): Eukaryota > Metazoa > Chordata > Mammalia > Primates > Hominidae > Homo > Homo sapiens. The sequence goes on along the minus strand of NC_000007.14, from coordinate 85,951,824 downwards.
ATATTTTACTCAGAATAGCTACAGTGGATTATGATGTGACAGATAGTCATCATGCTAGACATTTGAGTAGAAAGAATTTAAACTAAAAAGAAAAACACACAAAAAGCAAACTTTATATTTTATAGAAAAATTTCAAGGTAGATGACAGTATATTGCTTTGAAAGGAAGAATATTATATATTTAAAACATAACTATTATCAATGATGATGACTGCAGCCTTTTAAGATAAACTTTGAATTTATAGGTCACAAATATAATGTAAATTTATACTTAGAATAAAAAAATTAGAGTAAGTATGCTGCTGCTTATTTCTTTATTTACTAGCATCTTTACATGAAAAAAGATGAAAAGAATACAGAATTATTGGGACCACCTAATAAAGTAATAGTTTTAGAAATGTTTTAAAATATTGTTTATCCTAATTGGGTATCAGGAGGTATTATTCCTTAATACTCAGAATAAATTACAAAAAGTAATCAATAAAGCTAATAGAAAATCAGTAAAGCTAATAGAAAAACAACTGAGGTGAATTAAAATTACTTTTATTTATCATGCAGTGAATACTATATTAACTCCTTCATTGCTAGTTTTCTTAACATTGTCATGGGTGTTATTATCTGTTTTAGCAAACTTCATATGACTTTAATGATAAAAACCAAGAGTAAAAATCATATTTATTTGCTGAAAACTTTTGTCTGACCAGAATTAATTTGCACTAATTGTATTTATCAACAGAAACAGAATGAATAATGCTGACATCACATATGTTCACCAAGAGCTCAGTTACTTGTCATGATAAATGTCAGACGGATTTTTTTTTTTTTTCAGACAGAGTCTCACTCTGTCACCCATGCTGGAGTGCAGTGCAGACTGATGTTTAACACCCTTTGTTTTTATGTTGAAATAGAGCACTAGTGAAGGTGTCCAATTAAAATATATCTGACCAGGAGAGATTTCGAGCAAGATAGCAGAATAGAATGCTTCAGCAGTCATCCCCATGTGGGAACACCAAATTGAACACCTATCCACAAACAAAATAAACACCTTCATAAGGGCCAAAATCAGGTCAGCAATCACACTACCTGGTTTTAATATTATATCAAGGAAAGAGGCACTGAAGAGGGTTGTAAAGACAGTCTCATATTGCCTATACCACCCCTCCCCCATCTACCCTGGAAACATGGGGAGAGAGAATCGGAGAAAGCGAGTTTGCATATTTGGGGGAGTGAGAGTGAAGCAAATCTGGGACTTTGCACTGGAACTCAGAACTGCCCTGTCACGGCAGAAAACAATGCAGGGCAGAATTCTGCTAGTTCCTACAGAAGGAGCATTCAAACTAGCCCTGGACAGAGAGGAATACACCACTCCAGCAGTAGAAACCAGAGTTCCAGCTATCTCCACCACCCACAGATTAAAGAGCCCTAGGCCGGGCACAGTGGCTCAACACCTGTAATCCCAGCACTTTGGGAGGCCGAGTCGGGCGGATCACAAGGTCAGAAGTTCAAGATCAGCCTGGGTAACATGGTGAAACCCCGTCTCTACTAAAAATACAAAAACTAGCCAGGCATGGTGACGCTCACTTGTAATCCCAGCTACTGTGAGGATGAGGCAGAAGAATCGCTTAGAACCCGGGAAGTGGAGGTTGCAGCGAGCCAAGATCGTGCCACTGCACTCAGCCAGGGCAACAGAGCGAGACTCCGTCTCCAAAAATAAAAAAAAAATGAAATAAACAAATAAAGAGCCCTGGGGTCCTGAATAAATTCAAAAAGTAATCAGGCCACAAGAACTACAGTCCTTGGGCAAGTATGGGTGCTGTGCTGGGCTCACAGCTGGTGGAATTGGAGTACAAGTGACCAAGCAATACCCAGTTGTGGCAGCCAAGGGAATGCTTACATCAGCCCTCCCCCAACTCCACCCAGAGTAGCTCAGGGAGAGACTTCAGTTTGTGAAAAGGAGAGGGAAGAGTAAACAGAACTTTGTCTTGCAACTTGGGCACCAGTTTGGCTGCAATAAACTAAAGCACAGAGAAGATCCCTGAAGCCCCTGATTTCAGGCCATAGGTCCTGGACAGCATTTCTAGATGCACCCTGGGCTAGCAGGGAATCTGCTGTGCTAAACAGAAGAAAGCAGTCCTAGCAGGATTCACCACCTGCAGACTAAAAAGTCCTTGAGCTGTGAATAAACATCAGTAGTAGTGAGGCAGTAGTCACCATGGTCCTGGGGTGAAACCCAGTACTGTGCTGGGTTCAGGTTTGACCCAGGGCATCCTGGCTGTGGTGGCCAAGGAAGTGCTTGCATCAATCCTCCCCTGGCTGAAGGCAGTCCAACAAGGAGAAAGAGAGACCCTTCAGTTTGGGGGAACATGAGGGAAGAGAACGAGAGAATTTGCCTGGTAATCGGGGGAGTTCTCCAAGATCTTACCTAAACCCACGAGGGGTATATGAGACTGCAAGACTTGCAGCATTAAGGAGCTTGTTGTGTCCCTTGTGCAGATACACCTGCAGTGACCAAATACTTAGATCACAATACTTAATTCCCTTTGAATTAAGACTTCAAATACTTCTCAAGAAAGATAAGTACAAAAGAACTCAGACAGTGAAGATTTCAATAAATACCTAACTTTTCATGCCCAGACCTCAACAAACATCGACAAACATTAAGCATATGCAAGAAAACATGACTTTACCAAATCAAGTAAATAAGGCACCAGGAATCAACCCCAGAGTAGCAGAGATTTGTGACCTTTCAGGCAGATAATTCAAAATAGCTGTTTTGAGGAAGTTCAAAAAACATTAACAAAACGGAGAGAAGAAATTCAGAATACAGTTAGAAAACATTAAGAGATTGAAATAATTTTTACAAATCTAGCAGAAATTCTGGAGCTAAAAGATTCAATTAATACACTAAAAAATGTATCAGAGTCTCTCAGTAGCAGAATTAATTGAGCAAAAGAAAGAATTAGTGAGCTTGAAGATAAATTATTTGAAAACACACAGTCAAAGGAAAAAATATAAAGAATGAAACACCCTTACAAGATCGAGGAAATAGCCTCAAAAGGGCAAATCTAAGAGTTTTGGCCTTAAGAAAAGATAGAAAGAGGGATTGGGGTAGAAAATGTATTCAAATAAATAATAACGGAGATCAATCTAAACCTAGAGGATGATATCAATATTCAGGTATAAGAAGGTCATAGAACTCCAAGCAGATTTAACCCAAATAAGACTACGTCAAAGCATTTAATAATCAAATTACTAAAGGTCAAGAATAAAGAAAGGATTCTAAAAACAGCAATAGAAAGGAAACTAATAACAATTAAAGGAGTTCTAATACTTTTGACAACAGACTTCTCAGTGGAAATCTTACAGGCCAGGACAGAGTGGCACGACATATTCAAAGTTCTGAAGAATATAAAATTTGTATCTTATAATAATATACTTAGTTAAAATAGCCTTTGAACATGAAGGAGCAATAAAGACTTTCTCAAAATAACAAAAGCTTAGGAATTTCGTAAATACAAGACCTGTCTTAACAAGAAATGCTAAAGGGAGTTTTTCAATCTGAAAGAAAAGTATGTTAGCAAGCAATAAGAAATTATCTGATGGTACAGAACTTACTGGTAACAGTAAATACACAGACAAATACAGAACATTTTACACACCACATAATTGTGGTGTGTAAATATAAAAAATATAAATGAGGGGAACAAAATTTAGAATGCATGGAGAGGTAAATTGTAGAGTTCTTAATAGTTTCCTCTTTGCACAATACAAACAGAAAACAAATAACTAAATGGCAGTAGTAGGTCCTTATCTATCAATAATAACATTAAATGTAAATGGACTAAACTCTCCAATCAAAAGACATAGACTGCCTACATGGACCAAAAAACCAAACCAAACCAAACCAAAACAAAAACAAAAATGAAATAAAAAACAAACAAACAAACAAACAAAGAAACCCACCAAGGCTTAACTATATACTGCCTACAACAGATTCAGTTCACATATGAAAATACACACAGACTGAAAATAAAGGGATGGAATAAGATATTTCATGCAAATGGAAACCAAAAAAGAGCAGAATAGTTATATCAGATAATACGGATTTCAAGAAAAAAACTATAAAAAGAGACAAAGAAGCTCATTATATAATGATAAAAAAATAAATTTAGCAAGATGATGTAACAATTATAAATATATATAAACCCAACCCTGGAACACCCAGATATGCAAGGCCAAAGTTCTTAGAGCTAAAGAGAGACACTTCAATGCAATAACAGGAGACCTCAAAACCCCAATTGCAGCACTGAACAGATCATCCAGACAGAAAATCAACAAAGAAACATAAGACTTAATCTGTACCACAGACCAAATGGACCTAATAAATATTTACAGAATGTTTTACACCAAAGCTGCAAAATATACATTCTTCTCCTCAGCACATGTATCATTCTCAAGTATACATTAGGCCGCAAAATAAGTTTTAAAAATTCCAGAAAGCACCATAAAATCATTTCAAGTATCTTGTCTGACCACAAAGAGATACAACTAGAAATTAGGTGAGACCATCCTGGCTAACACAGTGAAACCCCGTCTCTACTAAAAATACAAAAAATGAGCCAGGCATGGTGGCAGATGCCTGTAGTCCCAGCTACTCGGGAGTATGAGGCAAGAGAATGGTGTGAACCTGGGAGACGGAGCTTGCAGTGAGCCGAGATTGCACACTCTAGCCTAGGAGACAGAGTGAGACTCCAAAAAAAAAAAAAAAACAAAAAAAAAAACTAGAAGTTAGGAATAAGAGAAACTTCAGAAACTGTGCAAACACATGGAAATGAAACAATCTGTTTCTTAATGACCAGTGGTCCATGAAGTTAATAATTACATTAAAACAAATTTAAATGAAAACAAAGCATACCTATAGAATACAGCAAAACTATTACTAAGAGAGAAGGCTATAGCACTAAGCCTACATCAAAAAAGAATAACAACTTCAAATAAGTAAACTAACCATATATCTTAAAGAAATAGAAATATAAGAGAATACCAAACCCAAAATTCATAGTAAAAAGAAATACTAAAGATCAGAGCAGAAATGACCAAAATTCAAACAAAAAATACAAAAGATCAATGAAAAACAAGTTGGTTTTTGAAAAGTTAAACAAAATTAACAAATCTTTAGCCAGAACTAAGAGAAAAAGAGAGAAGACCTAAATGAATAAAATTAGAGATGAAAAAGGAGACAGTACAAGTGATACTGCAGAAATTTGAAGAATCATTTGAGACTACTATGAGCAATTACGTGCCAATAAATTGGAAAACCTAGAAGAAATGGATAAATTCCTAGGCACATGCAACCTATTGAACTATAAGGAAATACAAAACCCGAAAAGACCAATAATAGGTAACAAGATACAAGCTTTAACAAAAGTCTCCCAGCAAAGAAAAGCCCAGGACCTGATGGCTTCATAATGGCTTCACTGCGGAATTCTACCGCACATTTAAAGAAAAACTATACAAATTCTACTCAAACTATTCTGAAAACTGAGGTAAGAGAGAATACTTTTAAACTAATTATATGAGTCCAGTATTACCATGATACCGAAAGGAAAGACACAACCAAAAAAGAAAACTAGACTGATATCTGTAATGAACGTTGATGGAAAACTTATCAATAATTACTAGCAAACAAAATTCAACAACACATAAAAAGATGATTCATTTTGATTGAGTTGAATGCATGCAGAGATGGAAAGATAGTTCAACATATGCAAATCAGTGTAATACATCATATCAATAGAAAGAAAAACAAAAACTAAATGATAATTTTAACTGTTGCTGAAATGGGATTCGATAAAATTCAACATCCCTTCATGATAAAAACTCTAAAAACAACTGGATATAGAAAGAACATACCTCAACACAATCAAAGCCATGCACAATAGACACACAGAAAGTATCACACTGAACAGGGAAAAACTCTTAGGCTTTCTTTTAATATGTGGAAACAAGACAAGGATGCTCACTTTAATCCATTGTTATTCAACATAGCACTGGAAGTCCTAGATGGAGACAACATGACCTTATGTTTAGAAAAACCTAAAGCTGCATCCAAAAATCTGTTAGAACTGATAAATTTAGTAAAGTTACAGGATACAAAATCAACTTACGAAAATCAGTAGCATTTCTATATACCAAAAGTGAAAGAAATCAAGGAAGTAATCCCATTTGGAACACTTACAAATTAAAAGCCTAGGAATAACCTTAATAAAAAAGTGAAAGATCTCTATAATAAAAGCTCAAAAACATGGATGCAGGAAATTGAAGAGAATGCAGGAAAAATGAAAAGATATTCCATGTTCATGGATTGAAAGAATTAATATTTATAAAATATCCATACTACCCAAAGCAAACTGTAGATTCAATACAATTCCTATAAAAATACCTATGACATTCTTCACAAAAATATACAAAATAATCTTAAAATTTATATGGAACCACAACAAACCCAGAATAGTTGAAAATGTCCTAAGCTCTCCAGAAATAAAAAATACTGGATGAATTACATTACCTCACTTCAAATTATACTACAGAGCTATAGTAATCAAAAGAGTATGGTACTGGCATAAAAACAGACATATAAACAAATAGAACAGAATAGACAACCCAGAAATAAATTTATACATTTATAACCAACTGATTTTTGACAAAGGTGTCAAAAACATACATTAGGGAAAGGGCAGTCTTTTCAATAAATGGTGCTGGAAAAAGTTAGTATCTATATGCAGAATAATGAAACTAGACCATCTTTCACCACATACAAAAATTAAATCGAAATGGATTAAAGATTTAAATCTAAAACCTCAAACTATGAAACTTCTAAAAAAAACAAAATCTAAAATAGACGTTTCTTAAAAGAAAAAATAAAAATGGCCATTGGTGAGAATGTAAATTAGTACATTCCCTATGAAGAACAGTATGGAGCTTATTCAAGAAACTGAAAATAGAATTACCATATGATGCAGCAATCCCACTGCTAGGCAAACACTGAAAAGAAAGGAAATCAGTATATCAAAGTGATATCTGCCCTCCCATGTTTACTGAAACACTATTCAAAATAGCCAAAATTTGGAATCAACCTGTGTCCTACAACAGACAAATGGATGAAGAAAATGTGGTACATATACATCATGAAATATTCAGCCATAAAAAATGAAATTCTGACATTTGCAACAACATGGATGGAACTGGAGGACATTATGTGAAGTGAAATAAGCAAGGCACAGAAAGACAAATTTTGCATGTTCTCATATGTGTGAGCTAAAAATGAAAACAATTGAACTCATCAAAATAGAGAGCAGAATATGGTTACCAGAAGCTGGGAAGTGTAGCTGTGGGGTGTGTGTGTGTGTGGTGGGGTGGGGGGTGGAAAAAGTAGGGATGGTTAATGATTATATAAATATAATTAGGTAGAACAAATAAGACACAGTATATGATAGCACAACAGGCTTACTACAGTCAACAATAGTATTCTATACTTTCACTAAAAGAGTGGAATTGGAATCTTTCTGACACAAAGAAAGGATAAATGTTTGAGGTAATGGATACAACAATTACCCTGCTATGATTATTATATATTGCATGACTGTATCAGAACATCACATGTACCCCATGAATATATACACCTATTATATACCCATAATATTTTATTATAAATAGTAAAATAATAAAGTATATAACCCACAAATATATTATTTTAATAATTAAAATAATATTTAAAATGTATTTCATGAAAAATGCATTTATTTACATTTCAGAAAAATTATTCTTAATTCAGTCTAACTACATTTGAGAAACATGGCAGAATAAGCGATAATAAAATTAATCCTTTGAATGATGTTGATTATGATGATTATGATGATAATATAATTTGACTATAAACTCTATCTCATAAAAAAGCACTCTGTGACACCAGTAATTAATGTAACAAAATTTTATAAGGTAAATAAGAACCTATATTATGACATAAAATTTGCACACCTGTACACACACAATGTATATTTTTACATATATAGTATAAAAAGAAAGAAAATGTATGCATACCCTTAACTGAAAATCTAAAATCCAAAGAGCTCTGCATCCAGTTTTCTCTTCAAATTTTAGTTTTTAGTAAAGCCTGATATGGACAATCTACAAATGGGCTCTTTGTAGTTCCTTTAAAAAATAAAAAATCCTTCTAATTGTGAGTGTTCACACATCTTGCAGCAGAAATATTAATGAGTTGAATTACTGGTTACTGAAACAGATCTTTCTGGCAGTGTTGCCTTCAATTATGTAGTATATGCATTGCATCTTCTGTTTATAAATGAAAAATTCTGAATTTAAAGCACATTTGCCCTCAGACATTTTAGAGATACATTGTCAACCTTTATTGCTAAACCTTATAACCAATAGACTGGAGGAATTATTTTCCCCAAATTGGGGGTATGTTAAAAACACAAATGATCATCCATTTACATAAGCTATGTCTTGATAAATCCATTGTAAATTGAAAATGCATTTAATACACCTAACCTACCAAACATCATAGCTTGGCCTAGCCTACCTTACTTAAACATGATGAGAACACTTACACTAGCCCACAGTTTGGCAAAATCATCTGGCAATACAATAAGCACAATATGCTGTAGAGTATGGGTTTTTTACCCTTGGGATTGCATAGCTGACTGGAGGCTGCAGCTCGCTGTACCTGCCCAGCATTGTGAGAGTACAGAACAGCATATTGCTAGCATGAGAAAATATCAAAATCCAAAATTAAGTACAGTTCCTGCTGAATGTGTATCACTTTTGCAACATCATAAAGTGGAGAAATTGTTAGGTCAAATCATTGTAAGCTGGGGACAAGCTGTCCATGAAAATCCACCTCAAATAATCTGAAATAAAGGAAATTTATTGATACAAATAATTGAACCAATAAAAAAGATTAGAAGTAGTGTGGGTTTCACTAGAATTAGATCCTCCCCTGGGAATTTCTGGGTTCTGACTCTTTCCAGTGCTTTCTCAGGCTGGCTCTAAGAACAACAAATATCAGCAGTGGCAATGGCCTCAGTACAACTACATAGAGTGACAGTGCCTTTTGCCCCCACATATTAAGCCCATGTCCTGACTCATTCTGGATTGGGCCGTTTGGGTTATAAATATGGATAGGCGATAAGACGAAGTAATTTGTTAAGTCTCTCTCATATGCCCCATACTTGGAAAGAAGATAGGATCAGCTTCCTATAACCACCAGAATCTGAAAGATGAAAACACAGACTATTGGAAAGGTAAAAGGAAAAGTGGTTGTGGGGGACTCACTCAACATGATGTCAATATAATCCCCATTGCAGAATGATGGAGACTGAAACACAAACAGCTTAAAACAGCGAGAAAAAGATTTTAGGCTAAGAATCACATGACACCAAATCTGCCCTCAATTTTTCTGTGCTGTATTTATGCTTTGTTTTCTGACTTACTGATATTTTATTTTCTTCAGTTGAATCTCTTTTAGGATAAATTCCAGTATAGGTACAACTAGTTTCCAGCTACATTTCTGAAACATATACAAGAATTGTTTTTATTTGAACTGTTTTCAGTATCTTAAATATAAATCTAATTTTTTAATGAATCTGTCCTGATATAATTTAGAACATTTTTCAGATGAATAGGTAATGAAATGATAATACTAGTGGCAAATTTCAAGTGTAGTAATATCAAGAATAGACAGATTTTTTGTAGCAATAGTGAATAAGAAAATTACAAGAATAATTTTCAGTTTTTTTGTGAATGAATACTAAACTGTACAGAAAGAGTAAGGTGTTTACCTTTGTAAAACTATTGTACTGAGAAGTCAAATGTGCTAAAATAATATTAAGAATAAGTGAGATAAGTTATCCTGCTTATTCATTATAAAGACTATTTAGTACTGTAATTTTTTTAATCTAATTTATACTTCCCTGAACGTCAGCACTTCAAGAAGCATGAAGTGGCATTACAACTAGAAAACTCACAAACTATATATATTCACTTTTCCTTTTCTCTTTTTTCATTATACTAGTGCTTCAGCTAGCAATTTTCACTGTGTCACTGTAGCATTTTGAGGTAAAATGATAGATCACCTGTCAGCAACTGGAACAGCAATATGGAAGAAGAAAGTTATTGCAAGAAATGGATTTGCTGATAGTCATTTTCAGGGAACTGTTAAAATCTCAAATAGTTCCAATAGTTGAGCATGGCAGCTTTCAGTCATGAAAATCAGTATATTGTCATCTTTTGCTCAAAAGGCATAATATATAAGGCTCACATTCTTGAAGTTTATAATTATCTAATACATGTATATTACATTTGTTATCCACATATATGCATGATAATTATATTGGATCCAATATAATCCAACCAATATTTGTTGATGCTAACTATGTACAATTCAATGTTTAGGATTCGAGTATGTAGGGATGACTAATACGAACTTACACTGTAATAACAGAGGAATGAGACAGGCCCAAATTGACCTTAGAAAAACCTAATCTCATATATACAAAGAGTAATGGGAGGAGAGGCAGAAAGGTGTCTTTAAAAACAAAATAGAAATATTGAGTAAATTTGCTTTGACAAAAGCCAAAAATTTATAGCTTACAGTCAATATTTACACCTGGTAATACTTTAAAAAGTGCTTATTACTTTGATAATATCATTTGGCAAATATTTAGGGCCTCCCTTTTAAAGGTGCCAAAAAGTTTCAATTTGTAGAGATTAGCTGTCCTTCACTGAGTTGGAAAGGACATAAGTACTAAAAAAGTACCTTTTGTTTTAGTCACTGCTGTCACAACAATCATTACACTCGATGAGACATTTCAAGTACATTCTTGTGACTGTGGAGTGAATTGAAACTACGATGGCCTTCCTCTGATCTCAAATTTTAAAATATGATCTGAAAATCTATTAAAGACCTAGAGAGCTCAAAAGTGGCATAACTATCACTTTACTGATGACCTGTATTCAGGGGCAGGGGCAGTGGGTATGTGTGGACATGAATGACATTTAAAAGAATTAGGCTTTACTGAATCTATGGGAGGGACTACGAAGAGCCTTTGTTATTTCTGAAAGATTTTATGCAGAGTCTTTCCTTCCCTGCCTTCTCTTTTGATTAATAGCATCCATGGTTTCACCATATAAAAGATTACAAAAAACCTTAGAAAATAAAAATAAAAATGACAATTTGTAGTAACATAGTGCACTATAGTTTCAAAGCATTTTTTATATACAATATTTTATACAGTACTCACAACTATTCTATGGGACATAGGACAGGTATTATTAGTCCCAAGTAAGGCTACAGAATAAAGAAGTATTTAATGGCATTTCATTTCAGGGTTAATGCTTTTACATTCTTAGTTAAAAATTTTTCTGATATTTGTATTGCTAAATGTTTGTGGCATGGGGCAAGTTTTAGGTGATGATGAGGACTGAAAGGTGAGATGTCCCTAAAAGTTTTAATGAAAATCAGCTTGAAGCTCTGTCTGTATATCTCTGTTTTAATTTGCATTTATATACATTTTAAATATCTAGTTTTCGTCATCAGTTGTTCTCCTTATTTTCTCTTTGAATGGTGAACTAGGATTTCCAGGTAAGAAAGTAATTTTATTTCTAACTTAAAAGCATAAAACTAGCCATTTTTGAAGAACAAAACAGAAAAAGAATTCTATCTGAATGGCAAGATTCAATCAGCACTTCACATTATAGTTTGTAAGAAAGACAGACAGATGGTAAAAAATAGAAAAAGAAAAGTTCACTTTATAAAACGGGAGAAAGTTGAGCAATTATCAATTAATTCTTCCTTCATTATAATTTAAAATTTTAACCCTTCATTCACGAGGTTTGCCTTTAATAATACCAAACAATTAACTCCATGTGCACAAACCACATTAATCATAGCGCTTGCAAAGGGAAGTTTTATGCTTTGCTCTGCCTTGCATTGCATTTTCTTTGAACTAGTTGATTTATTGGTTCTATTATGTATCTTAGCTAATTGTAGTTAATTTTTGTCTGTATTACCAACATCTGTTTGAAGTATAGATCCTATGAGTCTCTCATTTGAATTAATTCTGTTTAAAATTCTTTATTTTCTTTTGTGCTTATTGTCATTTAAAATCTGAAAATCAGATTGGTTTATGACTCTAAAATTCTAAACCCACCCACACAAACTAAGGACCTTCACATACCACTACTAGGTTCTTTCTACTGAGTTTTGTGGGAGAAGCAAGCATTTGGTGAAAAAAAAAGAGAAAAAAACAAAGTTATTAATCATTCAAAAAAGTAATCAATAATTCTTAAAAGTTAAAATGTGAGTATCTTTGTCCTCACTCATAATTCTTCTGTAGATCCACTGAGTAAGTCACTCAGGGGGCAGATACTGTCTCTCTAAGAACTCACCATGTTGCCTAATAAAATAGGATGATGCATTTAAGGAATAAAGTGTCTTAGTTTTAACCAGAGCAGCTGGCAGCTACAGTACATAATGATGTTAATGGAGTGACCTGTGCCTTCGTTCTTTATTTATATTTTTTAAAAGTCTTTCTTTTTAGCACCCACAACCTGGGTGGGTCATCCACTAGTAGCAGATCCTAACACCAATTATTCAGATGCCTCTTTTAAAAACATTCTTACACTCTGAGAAAACTAAAGGAAAGAAAAGCAAGACAAAACATAGCAGGTGCTCTTTATTTCCTTTAATCTATTTCTCTAAATATACAGGAAAAGTATTTCACTTGACAAAATACAACCTTCTCTGTGTCAACTAACTGGATTTAGAACCATCTTTCTTTAATTTGTTGTACATTAGTTTTCTTGTTCTGAAATGCTAACAATGAAAGAATCTTGTGGTGCTTCCTATCTGTGCATCTCTATGTACTTATCTAGGGATAGTCATATTTAGTATCTGCTTTTATCAGGAACATAGTCTATTATTAATTAGACATCTAATTTTTTGTAAGAAACAAAACCAGCACTTTGAAAATCTACATTTTGACTTGCATGAAGTAAAATAGCTAACTCAGTGTTTAATGTAATATAATATAAATGAAAACTTAATATGTATAATGAAAATTTGCATAATATAAACACTAATTGTTTAATATAAATGAAATATAAATGATGATATAAATGAAAACTTGCATAATATAAATGAAATATAATGAATATATTAATATAAATGAAAACTTGCATAATATAAACACTAATTGTTATCTTTAGATCTTCCTAGATTCCCAATTTTATTCCTAACTCTAAAAAATTATTTCTACTGACAAATTTACTTCACTTCTAGGCAAAAGCTACGCTACCATTTTGGTCTGCAGCCTCTTTTCTTTTCCTTTTCCTTTTCCTAAATTATACAAATTTTTTTAATGGAAAAACATTTAGAAAGATTTAGAAACATTGTAAAATGACAGCTTTGATTTGCTCTGTAAGGTATTTGACAATTTGATTATTTAATCTATTCAACACAAATATTGAAAAGCAATATATATTGTCTAGGACGAATACAGAAGGAATATTTATTACCAAAATACAGAAGCCATATAAAAGTAGGCTGTAGGGTATAAGAGATAATTGTCATAAAAAAGGCTAGGTTCTTGAATCAAAGGGTCAAACTCTACTTACCTGACTTTTTTTCCCCAACAAAATCTGTCTCTTTTAATTAGTGACTTTTCTTTCTTTTTAGACAATATTTTATTTTATTTTTTATTTGATAGATAAAATTGTATATATTTACTAAGTACTACATGATTTTTAAAAATATATATACATTAAAAAGTGGTGAAATCAAACTAATCAGCATATGCATCAACTTACATTGTTATCACTTTTTTGTGGCAAGAACACTTAAAATCTATTTTCTTAGCATTTTGCAAAAATACAATATATTGTTATGAGCCACCATGTTGTACAATAGATCTCTTGAACTTCTACTTACTTGATTTAAAGGAACAAAGTATGCCAAGCCTAATTTGAAGAATAAGCATGATTTTAAATAAATAGTCTTCCGACATTGGGAGGCCAAGGCAAGAAGATCACTTGAGGTTAGGAGTTCATGACTAGCCTGGCCAACGTGGTGAAAACCCACCTCTACTGAGGCAGGAGAATCACTTGAACCTGGGAGGTGGAGGTTGCAGTTAGCCAAGATTGTGCCACTGCACTCCAGCCTGGGCGACAGAGTACTACTTTCTCTGTAAAACAACAAACAAACCAAAAACAAACAAACAAACAAAAAATAGTCTTCTGAATACATAGCTTCTGGATGAGAAAAAGAGGGAAAGAGAAGGAAGAATCACCATCTGGCAAATAAATGGTGAAGATTCAAGAAGACAAAAGAAAACATTTGGTGTGATGGAAGGCAAAACAGAACCACAAAATCAGAGGATGAGCAATCAACAACTCATCTCCTATCACCAAACCAAACAACTATTCTAAAGTGACTGGATGTTAATAAATTATCAGAAAAGTAGGTTAGCAAATTACAAATCATGAAAAACTCCTCAATATCATAAAATGAATTAAAAAAAAGCTCATAGAAAACTGTATTGCAGAAGATCAGGTAACAAATGTTCATATAAAACAAATGAGGAAAAGTATCCCTTGGAGTAACAGTCATAAAGAATATAAATGGTAGGTCTACTAATCAAACAGAATTACATATATTCAATGAGCATTTGAAGATATTAAAACTCACCATGTACCAGAAACTTAAAAACAAACAAAAAACAAATATGAACAAAAAATAGGAATAAGTGAGAAAATATTTTATTTAATTTAGAAATGAAATGGAAGAAAACAAAGAATAACATTAGAAATCAAGAATAAGTTAGAAGGTATCCAATGGAGTATACACTCAATGAAAATTTAATATGCTATATCGAAGGAAGGTAGGAAAACAACCAAGAGAATGAAAGAAGCACGCAAAGAAGGAATGACATTTTATCCTATCAGCCCCTGAAGAAGAAAAACAAAAGAACAGAGCTAATATTTAACACTCTAATCTATAAAAATTAATCAGAATCTGAAAGTTGACAAAGGTTCTAGATTACCCAAAATCAACCTAAAACAATGATCTTTGAATAAAACTTTTTGATTTCAGATATAAAGATGCAATCTTCCTGGTCTTAAAACAAAAATATAAATACGTTACAAAAGAATTATGTTAGCATCAAACTTTGCAAAACCAGCATACAAAACAAGACAAAAATAGACTATGCATTCTATATAGATGAAACAATGTGTGAATTAAGCATTTTATTTCTAGCCAAGCTATCCTTCAAATATCTAACCAATTGAAAAAAAAAAATCTGTCTGGGCAACATGATGAAACACCATCTCTACAAAAAATACAAAAATTAGCCGGGTGTGGTGGTACATGCCTGTAGTACTAGCTACTCAGGAAGTTGAGGTGGGAGGATCACCTGAGCCTGGGAGGTCAAGGCTGCAATGAGCCAAAATTTTGCCATCTTCACTCAAGCCTGGGTGACAGAGTGATACCCTGTATCCAAAAAATATTAATAAATTTAAAAAAATTTAAAAATAGAAAACCAGTTTCAATGTATGTAATCATCAATGCTTCTTATGAAATCTAGAAAATTAGCTTTATACAATCAAATTATGACAGGGAAAATTCAGCAAAAATTATGCTTAGCATGTTTAAATACATATAGTTACATATGGAACAAAAGTGAAGATGGCATGAAGGTAGAAGACCATTTACAAGTGTCATGTACTGTGATAAAATAGAAATAATGCAAATGAGTGAAAAAAATGAGAGAAGAAAAAAGGAAAGAATAATTTAGGAATAGCATTATATAGGTAGCATATGCATGTTAAATGATAATGAAGACTGTGAAAGTAATTTTAAAAATCTGACAAAATATACAATCAATGACTAAATAAGAAAAGCAACTAGGGACATTAAAATGATGTGTACACCAACATAACAAATTATAGTAGACAGATCAATGGCCACACAAACATATCCAAAACCTACTCTAGAATTTTGTTATCTTAATGGTAAAAAGGACTTGCAGATGTTATAATGTTTTTTGGATGTTGAGATAGGGTGATTATCCTGTATTGTCTGAGCAGAATATAATACATGAATCTTAGAAAGTGGAAGAGAAAGGCACAAAAGTATTTTAGAGAGGTGAGGTGTAGGAAAGACTTGACCAAGTGTTGCTGACTTCAAAGATGGAAGAAGGGAGATGTGAGCCAAAGAATGTAGCAATCTCTAGAAGCTAAGAACAAGCCCCAGTCCATGGCTAGTAAAGAAATTGGTACCTCAGTCCTACAACCACAAGGAAGTAAATTTTGCCAAGACACTGAAGAATCGGGAAATGGATCCTCCACTATAGTTTCCAGAAAGGAATGTGGCTTGCTAACAATCTGAGTTTAGCCTAGTGATACCTGAATCTAACTTCTCATTTATGGAATTTTAGAATAATAAATTTGTGTTGTTTTCATACACTAAATTATGATAATTTGTCATGGAAGCTATAGAACACTAATACACCAATAAAAAAAATTACAAGCCTTTCTAAATACCAAAAATTTTACTGTAATGACCTAGATAATTAATAGATAATGATTAATTGGCAACTATCTTGTAGAGAAATAATAGAAAAATAGGAGAAAAGATGAACAGATAATACATAAATTCATAAAAGCAATAAGAAACATGGCTATTGAGCATGAGAAATGTTCAAATTCAATCATAATTAGAAAAATCAAGTTAAACAACACTGAGATTCCATTTCTCAGTTATTAGATTGGTAAATATTTTAAAATATGACAACATATTATGATGGTCAGTCTGGAGGAGCATAGGCATTCTTATAATTGTTGGTGAGTATGCAAACTGGTACAACTTCTCAGGACAGAAGTTTGGCAATCATAGCAAAACCACATGACCACTTAACTTTTGACTCAACAATCTAAACTTCTTGGCACCTATCCTAATAATACATATCCAAAAATATGAAAATGCATATAAACACATGTATACACTCTTCTTTGTGATTGTAAAATACTGAAGCCAAACTAAATGCTCATTTATAAGAGAGTGAGTACACAAATTTTGATTCATTTGCAATATAGAGTTGCTTTAAAATGGACCACAAAGTTCCCCATGAACTGATATAAAGTGATTTCCAGTACATGAAAAAAGAAGTGAAAAACTTTAGTGCAATCCTTCATATGGAAAAATTACATGTATACCTTTGCACAAAAAATACAGAAAGAAGAAATCCAAAATTAACAAATTGATCACTTACAAAAAATGAGCAGGAAAGGAAAAAAAGGGGGAAGGTGGAGAGAATTAGAATGAGATAGCAAGGAGAGGAAGGATTGTTACATCTTCAAGTGTGACTTTCTATATACCAAAACACAACAAAAGCAAAACACTGTTAGAACCATGTTTCATATACCTTTCACATCTTTAAGGATACATAAAAATAATCCTCACTTTTTAATCATTTAGTATAACTTATTTTGTTTCGAGATAATAGAAATATGAACACAATTATGACTGCTTTAATCACATAAATCCATATTCTAAAAAACCTGACCTGGACGCAATACTGCTTAGGGCATATTGCTTTAGGACAAGTATTGAAACACACACACATGCATGCATACATCAACTAAGAATTCCAATAACTAAGAATTTAAAAGATCCATTACACTATATAACAAGCTGACAGAGAATCATTATTAGATCCAGTGTATTTATTTGTTCTCACAGTGCTATGAAGAAATACCCAAGACTGGGTAATTTATAAAGAAAAGAGGTTTAATTGACTCACAGTTCTGCATGGCTGGGGAGGACTCAGGAAGTTTACAATCATGGTGGAAGGCACCCCTTCACAGGGCAGCAGGAGAGATAATAAATGCTAGCAGGCAAAATGCCAGACATTTATAAAACCATCAGATCTCATGAGAACTCACTCACTATCATGAGATCAGCATGGGGGAAACTTCCCCCATGATTCAATTACCTCCAACTGGGTCCCTCCCATGACATGTGGGGATTATGGGGATTACAATTCAGATGAAATTTGGGTCGGGACAGACCTAAACAATATGCTTTCATCTCTGGCCCCTCCCAAGTCTCATGTTCTCACTTTTGAAAATACAACCATACCTTTCCAACAGTCCTCCAAAGTCTTAACTTATTCCAATATTAACTCAAAAGTTCAAGTTCAGAGTCTCAGCTGAGAACGCAAGTTCTTTCTGCCTATGAGCCTGTAAAATCAAAAGCAAGTTAGTTACTTCCTAGATACAATGGGGGTACAGCCACTAGGTAAATGCAGCCATTCCAAATTGGATAAATTGGCCAAAACTAAGGGGCTACAGGATCCTTACAAGTCTGAAATCCAGTAGGGTAGTCGTTAAACCTTAAGGTTCCAAAATGATCTCTTTTGACTCTATATCTCACATCCAGGTCATGCTGATGCAAGAGGTGGGCCCCTATGGCCTTGGACAGCTCCACCCCTGTGGCTTTTCAGTATACAGCCCTTCTCCCAGCTGCCTTCATGGCTAGCTCTGAGTGCCTGAGGCTTTTCCAGGTGCACAGTGCAAGCTGTCAGTGGATCTATCATTCTGGGTTCTGGAGTATGGTGGTCCACTTCTCACAACTCCACTAGGCAGTGCCCCAGTGGAGACTCTGTCTGGTGGCTCCCACCGCACATTTCCCTTCTGCTCTGCACTAGCAGAGGTTCCCCATGAGGTCTCTGCTCCTATAGCAAACTTCTGCTTGGACATCTAGGAATTTCCATACACCCTCTGAAATCTAGGCAGGGGTTCCCAAACCTCGATTCTTGACTTCTATGTACCCACAGGCCCAACACCATGTGGAAGCCACCAAGGCTTGCAGCTTGCATCCTCTGAAGCAATGCCATGAGCTGTACCTTGTCCTCTTTTAGCCATGGCTGAAACTGAAGCAGCTAAGTGTCAGGGCACCATGTCCTGAGGCAGCACAGAGTGGGGGGACCCTGGGGCTGCCCCACAAAACCATTTTTTCCTCCAAGGCATCTAGACCTGTGATGGGAGGTGTTGCTGTGAAGGTTTCTAACAAGACCTGGAGACATTTTCCCCATTGCCTTGGTGATTAAACTTCTACTCCTTGTTACTGATGCAAATTTCTGCAGCCAGCTTGAATTTCTCCCCATAAAATGGGTTTTTGTTTTCTATCGTATCACCAGGCTGCAAGTTTTCCAAACTTTTATGCTCTGCTTCCTCTTGAACATTTTGCAGCTTAGAAATGTCTTCTGCCAGATATCCTAAATCATCTCTCTTAAGTTAAAAGTTCCAGATATCTCTAGAGCAGGGGTAAAATGCCGCCAGTCTCTTTGCTAAAACATAGCAAGTGTCACCTTTATTCCAGCTCCCAACAAGTTCCTCATCTCCATCTGAGACTACCTCAGCCTACACTTCATTGTCCATATTACTATCTGAATTTTGGTCAAAGCCATTCAACATGTCTCTAGGAAGTTTCAAATTTTTCCACATTTTTCTGTCTTCTTCTGAGCCCTCCAAACGGTTCCAACCTCTGCCTGTTACCCAGTTCCATAATTGCTTCCACATTTTCAGGTATCTTTACATCAGCACCCCACTCCTGGTATCAATTTACAGTATTAGTCTGTTCTCACAGTGCTATGAAGAAATAACTGAGACTGGGTAATTTATAAAGAAAAGAGGCTTAATTGACTCACACTTCCACATGCCTGGGGAGTCCTCAGGAAACTTACAATTATGATAGAAGGTACCTCTTCACAGGGCAGCAGAGGAGAGAATGAATGACATCAGGGAAAATGCCACACACTTAATAAATCATCAGATCTCATGAGAACTCACTCACTATCACAAGCACAGTATGGGGGAAACTGCCCCCATGATTCAATTACCTCCCACCAGGTCCCTCCCATGACATGTGAGGATTATGGTGATTATAATTCGAGATGAGATTTGGGTGGGGGCACAGCCAAATGATGTCATTCAGTGTGCAGAATATGAAAATATTTAATCTATTTAAGAAGGCTCATGTGTACACACACTTATTCTCATCTTGGAAGTGTTGTTTTTGCTTTAAAATAAAGCAGTCTATTTTTATTTTAAAGCAATAATATTTCACTGAATTTGCTCAGTTCCTATTGAAGGAATCCAGCTTCTTCCAAATAACCTCCAACTGGTAGTATTTTTAACAGTTGTCATGGAGTGGCAGAAAATGTGCATGCACCAATATAGCACTTATTAAAGATAACTTTAATTGCTGATCTAAGTTGTTTTTTATCACTCAATAGATGTTAAGCTCCTTTGTGCAAATAATGCATTCTATTAATATTGTATATACCAAATCCTGGCATTTTTACTATGCTTGGTACTTACATTTGTTGAAAATATAAGAACAAATGTCCTCAGAAACTAGTCATGTAACTCCCATGTGGTGTCTGCCACAATTTACTTGTCTCCATTTCTTACCCCTAATAGAGGGTGAAAAGTTGTTTATTCCATCAAGAACTTCTGAGGAAGATCTCTCTAACCTGCCGACGCATATTTAGTTTATCAGCTGCTGATGCACTGGGTTCTGTGGTAACTTAAGAAATACCTGCATCCTCTCCTCATTATAATTTCTTACAGGAGCCCTAAAATGTTGTTATTTAGATCATCATATATTAAATATATTTTTATAACCCAGAATTTAACTTTTTCCAAAGCTCTCCTTATTCATAAGACATGGACACACTTTGGCTAAAGACATAGCTAAATGACAAACATTGTGTTGTATTCTATATTTCAGTTGATTTTTTTCATTTTCTATGACCAGAGTTCTAACATTGAAGGTATTTTATTACTTTTTCTCTTCTAGAGTAAAATCATCGACAGTAAATGTATTAGCATTTGTGCACATTGAATATATCCACGGTTTGGCCCACAGTTTGTCGAACATGCTCAGCCTTATCTGATTCTCCATGATACATACACTTAGGACCAAATTTTAGGATTTTTTCCACCACCATGTGTAAGAGATTAATGATCACTTATTTGACTAATGGCTTTTATATAGTGAGTTCCTAAAGAACACTAGTAAATTTTAATCATTTTCATGAGCAAAGTCCTTGAAACCAGTTTCTTTCAACAATAATGATATCACAGCTACAAATTGTAGCATGTATAAGGGAAATAATTTATGATTTACCAGTCTCAATAAATATGCTCGTACTCCTGTTTCTATTTCACTAGCCAATGCATAAATCCAAAAGTGCAAAGAAGTGTTATCCTACCATGTACTTAGAAAGAAAATGAGAAATATTTGCTAGACAATAGTGATGACTAATACCAATGGTATGGAAAGTAAGTAAACACTACAAAAACAACCAGAGTAAGAAGAGTTCATCAGCAACCAACAAACTTCAGCATAATTTAGTTTTAAGGGAAACAGTAAATAAAAGTTAAAAAAGTGTGTGTTTGTGTGTGTGTGTGTAGGGAGGTAGTGAGAGAGAGGGAGGTGGGTGGGGAGAGAGAGAGAGAAAGAGGATGCAAGAGAGAGCTAGCACACTTTAGGACCAGACAGCGGCACTTTGGGAGGCCGAGGTGGAAGGAACACAAGGTCAGGAGATCAAGACCATCCTGGCTATCACGATGAAACCTCGTCTCTGCCAAAAATACAAAAAATTAGCCGGTCGTGGTGGTGGGCGCCTGTAGTCCCAGCTACTCAGGAGGCTGGGGCTGGAGAATGGCGTGAAACTGGGAGGCGGAGCTTGCAGTGAGCCGAGTTCGCACCACTGCACTCTAACCTGGGCAACAGAGTGAGACACTGCCTTTTAAAAAGAAAAATTATATATATATATATATATATACAGACACACACACACATATATGTATATACACATATATGTATATATATGTACACACATATATGTGTATATATATACAAACACACATATATATGTAGAAAATATTTAAATATGTAAAGCTCATTAAATAATAAATTTTTAAAAATGATATAAGTATAATGGTAGGAGTTATGGAGGAAAGGAAGTAATGTAAGTGAGCTAAATCCTCATCCACCACAGAAGAAATTCAGTACATAAAATCTGAACTAGATTACATAAAAATAGTGCTATAAGATATTGTTTTTAGCGATTTCGATGTAGCTATCTCAAAAAACAAAAGTTTGAAAGTAGCTCTCAGGGTGGAGTGAGACTAGATAAGAGAGAAGTCTGGCAGAAAGATATTTCTTTTAAAGTAAGGCCTTTGGTTCTACTAGTTTGTAGGCATTTTAGGTTACATGTGTATGAATCTAAAATAAAAAGGAAGCTGGTCAAAAGGAAGGTGTGGACTAACCCACATTTCTACCTCTCTAAGACCCATTCAGATGAGGCAGCATCATATCAGGGGTAGCAGCATCCTGAAATTCCCAGAGGAAAGGCCGTAATGTAAGCAGTGTTGGTGGTTCTAGTGAACAGGAGGAGGAACATCTATCAACTGGTTGAATCTAGAGCAAATGTAAAAATAGATTTTATCTATTCCATTATACTGGGAAAAAAGTAACCTTTATATGGTGAAAGAAGACACATTGCTGATACCTGGATTTTTTGTAAGGAAAACAAAGATGTACTTAAGTGTGTATTGCTGAATAAAATTAAAGAGTTAATAGCTAGTAATCTTTAAGTGAACATAGTCATAATAGGGTTGTGACATGCATTTTAACAATTCCATATTGGGTACTGAGAAAAAACTTTAGTCAAGGGATGCTTAGAAAATAGATTTTGCTGTCCCATTATCAAAATTTTTCCCATCCCTTACTTTGATGCATCCAATTAAATACCTTATCAAATGGTCAAGTCCTTGGATGAAGATTGGCATTGTAAATGCAGAGAAATCTCAGTCACTAAGGTTGAAATTGATTCAAGTTCCGATTTTCAGAACTTTTTTCAAGTGCATTCCATAGCTCTAGTTATTTCTGTTCCTATTTGTTATGCACAGATCTTTGCAAATTCTAGAACTCCAGGAGGTAGAACTCCCCCCCAGTTCTGCTAGCTGCAGCTGCCCGTAAATACCAAGGAACTTATGAATCTAAATGCCTGCTGTTGTAGGAGGGCTTATATAAGATTTCTTGGCTCTTGGTGGAAAGAGAAGAGACTCTAACTTGAGAAGAAGAGAAATACTCTCCATTTCTTCCAGTTTATCTAGCCATAATAGCCTTAGAAGTCATTTACACTATATTCTTTCTTGTGGTTGGGTTATGGAACTTACCATTTTTTTTTTTTTTTTTTCTGCAGTTTTACAGTTTAAATGTTTCAAGCATGTTTCTAATCTAGCATCAACTTCTAAAGACCCTGGAATATCTAAAGATCATATTCATTTTCAAATAAGAGAATGACTTTCCTAAAAGCTTTTAAAATAAATCATGCAGAACGAAACATGCTGTATTATCATGTCTTAATTTTCTTTAAGTTTACAAGACCTGCTTTATAATTTTTTAATGTCTGTTATTTAATCTATCAGCCATTACTTCAGTACAAACATATATACAAAGAATTTACTCATTAGAAAATAAATATTTGTTATCAGTTAGTAGTAGTTAGTATAGTAGTTCTGGATACAGTAATGATTTTTTAGAAGCTCATCTTTTGGGGAGAGATGGAAACACATTAATAAATTTTACATTACAATGTAATGCATTATCATAAATACACATTATAGTAGCTGTAAGTATCCAGAGAAGGAAATACCTAACCGTTAAGCAGGTGTGGAGAACAGGGTATGATTATGATTTTTGTTTTAGAATATCTTTGAACAGAGTTATAACATTGATATACACAGCTCACCTATTTTCATAAAAACAAACAAGCCAAAAAGGAAACTAAAACATGAAATAACAGAATCCAATACTCTAATTCAAGAGATACTGTCTTGGTTAGTGTGTAAAATTGGGAAATCAGCTATAAAACCAATGTCTTTCAAGCTGAGACAAATCTGCCAAACCATATGCCATCAGTGTTTTACATAGAGTAGCTATCTTACCAAATCTCATGAGAGAAGCCTCACTCTATTCTCTCAAACGTTTTTAAACTAAAAGGGATTACCTGATCTTTAAGCCCTGACATCAATGACCACAGCTTTGGTACTTGTTCAGGTATATTTTCAATCAAATTGTAAATATAGGGTGTATAGAAAAGAGTTAACACCCAGATCTGACTGGTCTCCTTTGAAAGGCCTGCTTACAAGATTGGCCTTTGGCTGGCATAAGAGAACTTAGATTTTGGGAAGGTTCCCAACATTAATCTACAAGAGTGGTTCACTGTGTCTAAACTGTTTGAGCAAACAATATTGTTTATATAGAACACCTGATTCTATTCTGGGAGATGAGATTTGTGTGCTTACCAGGCGAGACTATCTATGTGATCAGCCTCCAGTGAAAACTCTGGCACTGAGTGCCTAATGAACTTTCCTACTTGGCGACATTTCACATCTGTGCTCACCACTTGTTACTGAGCTAAGTATATCTGGTGTGACTCCCGTGGAAGAGAATCTTTGGAAGCTGGATTCTGGTTTCTCCTAGACTCCATCTATGAGACTTTTCCCTTTATTATTGTTCTTGGTATTCTTTTACTTCAATAAATCATAGCTGTGAGCATAACTATTTGCTATGTTCTCAAAGTTCTCCTAAGGAATTATCACACCCCAGGATGATCTTCAAGACCGCCAAGAAATAAAGTGTATATTACATTGAAATAATTATATTTTGACACTCTCTCTAAAGTTTTACCCAAAGGAAACTCATAATATAGAAAAACTATATGCAACGGGGGAGAGCTCTTGCTTCACAGAGAACATAAAGGGGTTCAACTAGTTTCCCAAAAGTAGTTAGATTTCTACAAAATCAAACATTTAAATTGACAAATTATATATAAATATATATTATACATATGTGTATGCATGTGTGCTACAATCAAGCTATTAACTCATAAAGAAAAAAATGCCACTGTGACTTTCTAACCTATAGTTAATAGAGTTTAAACTCTTTAAGCACAGAGAATACCACTTTTTCTAGCCCCAGTCCTCACTAACACTAGTGAGTAAACTGTAACAGTCACTTAGTTGTCTTCAGAAAAGTCATACATTCCAATGGCCACATTTGTAGCTCAAGTTTAAGATTTTGGAGTAGATAATTTTCGGTATGCCTTTTTTCTGAAATTCCAGTTGTTTTGTGAATAAAAGTGCCCTTGATGTTAACTCTGTTTTCTGTTTTTTCATAAGGTTTGACTTGACTGACCCAGTTGACATGTGGGTGATCCTGTTCTCCCTCAAAGCACCATGTGTGTCCTTCTAAGCTATTCATTCTTTCACAGACATAGAATATCCCAGTGAGATAAGGAATTAATTATCTTTTGGTGATATATCAGTCTAGGTCCAGTGAAGGAAAGAGAGCAACTAGAGGAATTAGACAAATAAAGAAGTTTAATGGAAGGATTAGAGCTTATCCATATGTGGGAAGGACTGAGGAACTGTGGGAGTGGTCATCTGGAAGGAAGGAATGGGAAGATTGTAGAAGAGCCATGAAAGACTTCAGCCTGAGGGACAGGACAGGATGGAGAAAGCACCAGTTTTGAAGTGGGAGCTTGTGGAGAGGTCTGCACTGCTCTAGCCACTATGACCTCCTCAAAGAGTGGCTCTGCTTCACTTTCTTTTTCCAAAACTCGATATCTTTCTCCCACTTAAACAATGTGCACATGTACCCTAAAACTTAAAGTATAATAATAATAATAATAATAATAATAAAGAAAAAAACTCTAATGATGAGCCATGTAAGAAGAGAAATAATGGGACATTCAATTCCTAGCCTTAGAAAGAGTGTCAGGGGTACCTGGTTGAAAATTAGGAAGCTCTGCAAGGCTGTAAACACATAAAAGACTTCCAGAAACCTATGAATCTGTATTTTTCAATAATGTTTCAGTACACTTGATGAGGCTGTAACATTAATCACTTTTCCAGTGATATCTGTGGTTTGTGCTACGTTAAAAAAAGGAGGGGGGGAATCAGATTTTCAAAGGTTTATTAAAAAGCTTTTTTTAAAAAAGATAAATTTTATTTGACCTGAATAAATATATCTAAAAGTGGCAGCCCAATATCTGTTGTATATTACAAAGATAATGTTGTATTGAGTTACTGTGAAAATGAAATGGAAGTCTCATAAAATTATTGCTACAGTTCAAATTGAACTGTCACTTATCCATGATCAGCATAGTAAACTATTAATTGATATTATGCCTCTATTTAAGTGATCTGACATTTAGATATCCTTGCCCACTGAAAAGCTTATTTTGCACATAAATTTTTCTTCAGCCATTCTTACACTTATCAGTTTTTAAGCTAATTGATGAATTTTTCAGTTTATTATAAAATTGTGGTATCAAATTTTTAAAGACGTCATATTTTTAAGTTCTAATTAAAAAATTAGTTTTCCATGTAGGATTTCTCCAGGTTCTGAAGCTGCAAGCCTCAAGCCTCAAAATATATGCTTTATTATATTTATCAATAGAAATAATTTAGAAGGAAGTATTACTAGCCATGTTTGTGTTGTAAACAGTTTTCCAAATTTCTCTAACTGTATTAAATTTTTACAGTACAAAAGTGTTACATATAAGATCAGTATGACAAACAAATCTATTTATGAAATGAGTAACTAATAATTTGGGTCAAGTAACCTACCTAGGGCAAGAATTACAATGACCTGGATTTGCAATATGAGTACAGCAAATGTAGGAATGCTTGCAATTGTGATGATTGTGCTCAGCCAAGGTCAGAAACGCTGTAAATAGGAGCTGACATCCTTATTGTAAAAATCAATGTTCCTGCTCATAAGCTAAGTGAAGATGTTTAAAGTAGAGAGACGATCAAAAGGATGAGTGCCTGTGAACTTTAAATACATTGTGAAACCTCGAGTCATTCTCTTCATTTGATTCCCTGGATAAATACTTCTGAGCAACATGTATGTTTTTCTTCTTATCTCTGAGGTTCTGATTTTGCTTAATATACTGATTGTATCTTCACTAGTTTTTTCATTTTAAAAACCTACATATTAAAGGAAGATAATATTATCTCGAATACAGTACAATACTGTATTCAGTCCATGTAATATTTCAGTCCATATAATAATATTTCATTTTTTTGTAGAGATAAGGTCTTGCTTTGTTGTCCAGTCTGATTTCTAACTCCTAGCCTCAACTGTATTTTTGCCTCAGACTCCCAAAGTGCTGGGATTACGGGTGTTTGCCACCATGCATGGCCAATAATATTAAAATTATTTAATATTATAGTAAACCTAAGACTATTCTTATTTTTTATTCATTTATGACATGGCTGTTTAGTCAATCTGAAAGATAATCATACGAAAACACAATTGTTTTATTAAATGCTATGTAAGCAGAGGAAGAGACCATTACAGAGGAATGTCTAATGTTGACATATGGGAGAAGAGCACATTAGGTAACATTTACTAAAAGAGATGATATTTACTCTGAGTCTTAAAAGGTACACAAAATGATGAAGCATGGGCAAAGCAGAAAAGCAGATGATGCAAAGAATAGAGCATTCAGAATGTGAAGGGCTAAGACTTCTATAAGTACATCAGCTTTGCTGGAACAATGGCAGAAATGGTGACAGGAATCACGCCTGATTACTAAGGAAAGAGACAAATCATGAAAGGCCTTGGATTTTATTTTGAGAAGTTTAGGTTTCTTTTTAAAATGATAAAAAGTCACCTAAGAATCTTGCATAAAAGAATATAAGTATTAACTATTTACATTAAAAATAATTAACAATTTTTCTGAGAACACATTTAAAATTAGGCCAAAAAATGTTAAAAGACTGTCAGAGTAATCCAGTAGAAAAATATTACTATGAACCTAAAGTCAAAAGAGAAAAATTAATACATATTTAAGACATAAAATACACAGGGTTTGACTGGGTCGGGAATCAGGGAGAGACAAAAGATGAATCTTATATTATCCTCAATTTTTTTGTGTGTTTGGCTGGATAGAGCACGGTATTATTGTAAAGACCTGGCCTAGAAATAGATTTGGTGAGAAGAGGAGGAGGCTTTTGTGTGATAAATTTGGGATGTCCATGTGGAGGTAGTCAATAAATGGTTATATAAATAGGCCTGGAGCTCAAGTAAGTTTTCAAGGAAAATGTTGACTTGAGAATCATCAACATAGTGATAAAGTAATGGTTCCACACAATCAGGCTTTGAGTAGTGTATTTCCTAACTCCCTGAATAGACAGCAACATTTTTTAAACCTGTTCACAAACTAGTAAACTTTATAGTCCTCCCCTTACATCAACTTATAGCCAAGCATCTTCCCCACATCTACATATAGAGCCTTACATCTCCCCCACACATCAAAATTCACACCACACAGTATGATTTTCCAGAGTTATGTAAAACTCAAAAACCAATGGCACATTTTGCCCTTAAAATTTTCTTTATAGGAAAAATTGGTCAGAATGTTTAACAACTCAAATTTACAAATGACTAAAAACTTTCCAAAAGCAGAGATGATTTCAATTAAAAGGTGTCATAGGTCTTGGGACTTTAATGACAGATTAGAGTTCCACAAAGAGCAACTCATTTAACAGACTAATAAGATACTTTGAATTCCCTCATATAAAATGAGGTGCTAGGAATAGTTCAACTCTAGGATTCACTCCCAACACTAAATTCCAAAATTAAATTAGAGTACTATGTAAACAATTCATTTCTATTGTATGTGCAATACGGTTTATGCAAATTATAATATGTGCATATTTTTTCCTGCATTAGATTTATCGACGTAACATAGCTATCTGAGGAAATCAACTTACTAAAATATGTTTTTTAAAAAACACTTAGCTGGGCACGGTGGCTCACACCTGTAATCCCAGTACTTTGGGAGGCCGAGGAGGGTGTATCACCTGAGGTCAGGAGTTCAAGACCAACCTGGCCAATATGGCAAAACCCTGTATCTACAAAAATACAAAAAATTAGCCAGGTGTGGTGGTAGGCACCTGTGATCCCAGCTACTGAGGAGGCTGAGGCAGGAGAATCGCTTGAGCCCAGGAGGCAGAGGTTGCAGTAAGCTGAGATCTCACCATTGCGCTCTTGCCTGGGCAACAATAATGAAACTCTGCCACAAAACAAAACAAAACAAAACAAAACAAAACAAACAAACATAAAAACTTAAAACTATTATTGAATTTGTCAATTTAGACTATAAAGCAACACATTATAGATATGAATACCCCATATTTTTATCAATTATACTTTCAATAATGTCTAAGAAAGTAGTTTCAGTCTAACACAATAGAAACTATTTGTGCATCATTAAAAGAAATGTGTTACAAATGAAAGGAGAGTATGTTTACAAGTTTAATTACAAATTCTCTGTTTTGAATTTATCGATGATTTATTTCATAAATGGCATACAGATTCAAAATTATTTGGGCCCTAAAACTAATGCTTAATTAAGTTCAATGAGCATTGTAACAGTTTAATATGTATATATTTTTCCATTCAAAATAGCATATATTCATTGAACTCACATATGGTTTTATTTAACACCATCACAGTTAAAAACAATAACACTCTCAAAAACAGCACTCTCTCTAACTTATTCACACATATTCACAACCACCCACAGACATGCACAACTTGTACATGCATAAACACTCCCATTCATGTGAGCTCTTTCCCGTACATGTGTGCACACACACACACATACACACACCACACACTCGGGATTTTCTTTCTCCTGCTATTGCACTCAACATTTCATATTCAAAATATATGGCAGAATGAGTAGTCCAGCCTCAGTAGTAAACAAAATTATTGTATAGAAAGAGCAATTGTCCTCAATCCTTGGATCTTTTCTTATGCTGGCAAAACAGTCTCGACAACTTCAAATAAATAAATGAATGACATTTTTAACTATCCAAGATTTTTTGACTAAGATCAAATGTGCTAAAAATAAGGTTTGCTTAATTTTTCAGAATTCAGTTTTAACTCTGCAATATATACTGTGGACTCCAAAATCTCTAAAATAGTTCCTCAACCATCAGCAAAAACCTCACCCTTATCAAACAGTCTTAATTTAGATGGGGATGCCTTTGAAGCCACAAACTTTCCATAGGTTAAAACCTACTCATTCTTTCTGAAGTTTTTTTGTTGTTGTTGTTCCTCCTAGTGAAGTTTATTCTCTTTGCTGAGGCAAACATAGAAAAATTAAGAAACAGTATCTAAACTGATATCTGACACCTATCATGCACAATGGAAAACTACTGTATAACAAACCCTGTTGTGTTTCAGTAATTCAGCACTTACAATCATTGTTTGTAGATTTTATTTTAATTTACCAACTCAGAAAACTGAAGTACCATGTTTTCTTCTGTCCAATGTCACTTAGCTGTTAAGTGACATTGTTGTAACGTGGAAACAATCTATTGTTCTCAATTTAGAGTCGTTTCTAGTATCACACAGAGAAGAAAATATGCAGCAAGTATACTTTTCAGTGTTATTTTAAAAGTCCATATAATCCACATAATTTGATCACTGTTTAAATAGAGAAACCTAAAACCAATCCCTGGTGGATTAAAGATATTCTGATATACCTAGCCTTCCTAGCTCAAGAGAATCATTGAGCATCAGTAACCTTGGGAAGATAATACAGCATTAGTTTGAATGTGAGGGGCAATTCAATTCAATTCTTCATTTACTTTTGGGACAATACACACTTATTTTATTGACACACTGTATTTGCACATATTTATGGGATATCATTTTATATATAATTATATATAATATATGCATATATTGTGTAATGTGTATATGTATAATATAATGCATATGATGTATATAAGTATAAACATATAATAATATGTACTATAATAAACTATACCATATATAAAATTATATGGTATGATATAATGATCAACAGATAGTGTAACGATTTAAGCAAGGTATTTGGCATATCCATCACCTCATGTATTTATCCTTTCTTTGTTGTGAGAACATTATGAAGCCTGTCATCTAGCAGTTTTGTGTTACACAGCATTTTACTGTTAACGATGGTCACCTTACCATGCCACAGAACACCATAACTTATTCCTCCTATCTAACTGTAAATTCATGCCAAATGATCAGTCTCTTCTCATCCTTGCCCCATCTTGCTCCTCCCCAGTCCTAGTAAAAGCAATCAGACAAAATAAATAAATAACAGGCATCTAACTGAAAAAGAGAAAGTCAAATTGTACCTCTATTCAGATGACATAATCTTATACAGAAAAACCCTAAAGACTTCACCAGAAAACTGTTAGAGCTAATAAACAAATTAACTTTTGATTTTTGACTTTAGGCTCGTGTTGAAAATGAATGTGTCTCCTTGGCCTCTGGCATCTTTACAGACACAGTATTCGTCTCCTGTGAGCCAACACCCAGGTTTCTTATTGTACCTGTAAAATAAAAGAAAATTTCAGGACCCTCTAAATTTATTATGTCAATGGAGAGGTTAAGTACTGGAGACTAAGTCATGTGGCATGTTTTGTATTTCTCGTTCTTAGATGATAAATTAACATTCTTCCTTATCGTTCTTGTTCTTTAACTGCCTTAGGATAGTTAGATCTTCTTGTTGAATTGAACCGTTTAGCATTATGTAATGCCCTTCTTTGTCTTTTTTGATCCTTGTTAGTTTGAAGTCTGTTTTGTCTGAAATTAGGATTGCAACCCCTGCTTTTTCTTTTTTCCATTTGCATTCACATACATGAACAAGAGCCAAGCCAAGAGCCAAATTATGAAGGCAATCACAATCACAATTGTCACAAAAAATATAAAATAGCTAGGAATACAGCTAACTAGGGAAGTGAAAAATCTCTACAATGAGAATTATAAAACACTGCTCAGAGAAATCAAAGAAGATACAAACAAATGGAAAAACATTCCATGCTCATGGATAGGAAGAATCAATATCATTAAAATGGCCATACTGCCCAACACAATTTACAAATACAATGCTATTCTTATCAAACTACTGATGACATTATCCACAGAACCAGAAAAGCCTATTTTAATATTTATAAGGAAACAAAAATGAGATTGAATAGCCAAGACAATCCTAAGCAAAAAGAACAAAGCTGGAGGCATCTGTTACCTGACTTCAAACTATGCTACAGGGCTACAGTA
Organism: Homo sapiens; assembly: GCF_000001405.40. Classification (NCBI taxonomy): domain Eukaryota; kingdom Metazoa; phylum Chordata; class Mammalia; order Primates; family Hominidae; genus Homo; species Homo sapiens. Next base: position 85,919,532 of record NC_000007.14, on the reverse strand, counting down.
GGCAAAACAGCATGATACTGGTAACAAAAACAGACATATAGACCAAAGGAACAGGATACAGAGTGTAGAAATAAGGCCACACACCTACGACTATCTGATCTTTGACAAAACTGACTAAAACAAGCAATGGGTAAAAGACCCCCTATTCAATAAATGGTGCTGGGATAACTGGCCAGCCATATGAAGAAGATTGAAACTGGACCCCTTCCTTACATTATATACAAAAATGAACTTTTGAAGAAGATGACAAACTTAAACTAAAATTAATATGGACATTTAAAAGACTTAGTAGAGACAAAACAATGTAGAAAATGAAATAAAAAATATGTTATTAGTATGATGATACACGAAAACACCAATGGGATAGATGGTGCCATGTTTAAACATAAGTATAGGTAATTCAGTAAGAAAAGGACAGCCTTTTTACCAAATGGTGCTGGAACAACTTGATATTCCCACAGAGGCTGAGGCAGGCCTTGGTTTATAAATTGAATTCTACCATACTTAAAAATTAGCTCAATGTGTAACTTATACCTAAGCATGAATCTAGAATTATAGGGTGGAGCACAGTGACTCACATCTGTAATTCCAGAGTTTTAGAAGGCCAAGGAAGGAGGGTCACTTGAGCCCAGAAGTTTAAAGACCAGCCTGAGCAACTTGCAAGACCTTGTCTCTATAATAAAACATAAAATAAAAGTAAATTAGGATGTAGTTTGCTGCCCCTTGCTCTAAAGATACCTTAACCAAATGAGAAGACAAGCCTCGCACTGAAAGAAAATATTACCTATATGTGTTTGACTAAATATTGACATTCAGAATATATAAAGATCTCCTACAACTCAATAATAAAAAGACAAATAACGTACTAAAAATAGGATAAATGACATCGACCCCAGACACAAAAAAGTAAGTAAATGTCAACTATGCCCACTATGCCTATGAAAAGTTGACTGACTTAATAGTCATAAAGAAAGTGGATATTAAATCACTTTGAGTTAAAATGTCACACCAACCAAAATGGCTAAAATAAAAAGGGCTTACTACACCACATATGGATGAGGTTGTAGAGCAGTTAGAACTCTCATGAGTTGTGGTTGAGAGTAGAAAATGGTGCCATTTGGGAAACAGCTTGGCAATAGAATACCTATATTTACACAAAATGGTCATTACAGTTCCAACATTGAACATATCCTTTAGCAGGTAGATGGATGCATAAATTATGGTATAGTAGTACAATTGTAAACTACTCAGCAATATAAACAAAGAACTATAAACTTTCTCAAGGAGTACCCTTGGGTACTGTTGGTGGCAATGTAAATTAGTGCAAACACTATGAAGAACAGTATGGAGGTTCTTCAAAAAACTAAAAATAGGACTACCATATGATCCAGCAATTCCACTGTTACATACATATCCAAATGCATTAAAATTAGTATGTAAAAGAGATAGCTGCATTCCCATATTTATTGCAGCATTATTCACAATAGCCCAAATATAGAATCAGTTCAAGTTTTTATTGATGGAAGAATATAAAGAAAATGTAATATAGAAACAATGGTATATTTTTCAGCCACATAAAAGAATGAAATCCGGTTATTTGCAACAAAATGGATGGAACTGAAGGACATTATGTTAAGTGAAATAAACCAATCACAGAAAGACAAATATTGCCTGTAATCATACATATGTGGGAGCCAAAAAGCATCGATTGCATGGAGACGTAGAGTAGAATGATGGTTACCAGGGACTGGGAAGGGAATGGGGCAAGGGTTGGTTAATGGGTACAAAAATGTAGTTAGATAGAAAGAATAAGATCAAGTATTTGGTATCACAATATGGCTACTATGGTTCACAATAATTTATTGTGTATTTTAAAATAGCTAGACAAGTAGAATTAGAATGTTCCTAAAACAAAGAAATGGTAAGTGAATGAGGTAATGAATATCCCAATTACCCTTATTTGGTCACTACATATTGTATGCTCATATAAAAATATCATATGTACCCAATAAGTATGTATAATTGTTGTGTACCATGAAAATTAAAAATTGAAAAATAGAGATATAGACCAATGGAACAGAACAGAGCCCTTAGAAATAATACCACATATCTACAACCATCTGTTCTTTGACAAACCTGACAAAAACAAGAAATGGGGAAAGGATTCCTTATTTAATAAACAGTGCTGGGAAAACTGGCTAGCCATATGTAGAAAGCTGAAACTGGATCCCTTCCTTACACCTTATACAAAAATTAATTCAAGATGGATTAAAGACTTAATTATTAGACCTAAAACCATAAAAACCCTAGAAGAAAACCTAGGCAATACCTTTCAGGACATAGGCATGGGCAAGGACTTCATGTCTAAAACTCGAAGAGCAATGGTAACAAAAGCCAAAATTGACAAATGGGATCTAATTAAACTAAAGAGCCTCTGCACAGCAAAAGAAACTACCATCAGAGTGAAAAGGCAACCTACAGAATGGGAGAAAATTTTTGCAATCTACTCATCTGACAAAGGGCTAATATCCAGAATCTGCAAATAACTCAAACAAATTTACAAGAAAGCAACATAAAAATTATTTTCAATAACATGAATCTTAAAATAGTAGGCTGAGCTACAGAGGCAGGATAGAAAAGAGAACATATGTTTTAATCCATTAATATTATGTTCTAAAACAGTCAAATCTAAGCTATGTTTATAAAAATCAAACCGTGTTTGACTTTGGAGTTTATTTACTGAAAATGGGCATTTGAAGATTTAAAGAAGTGTACAAATACTCTAATTAGTCAAAACATACAACTGTACATGTAATGTTTTTGCATATATTATATATAAATTATGCCTTAGGTTTTTAAGAAAGTGATTTTTAAGGGTAAGATAGCAAATAATTTTTCTTATGTGGGAAGCTGAATGCCATAGTTATTAAGAAACTAGGGATGATTCTGAGTTTCTCTGAATCAAGCAATATTGTCAAATTCTGAGAAACGATATAAAGGAAGCATAGGATTGTCTTTTGTTAAAACTCTAAAGTAATTAACTTTAAAGTAATTAAAATAGTTTAATTTGAAGTAATTAATCTTTCTGTTTCACTGTCCTCCTTCTGTTTGGCCCCATCACATATTTTTCTGTCTAGTGTTTTACCTTTTGTCTTTCTCTACTCATACCAAAATCTGTTCCCAGGAAAGAATCTAAAACATTATTTTATCCTACTTTCAGATTAGTCTATATGCTCTCTCAGAAATATGCAGTCTTCATCCCTCCTTATCTGGTAAGGAAAACAGACTCCTTTTAAAGTATGATTGCATGCCATTAAAAATCTATTGGACTGAGTTATATTCTGAGGAATAGGAGATGACAGCTTCCCACATGGTTGATTATAAGTAAGAGGATACTAGGGCATCTCTTTTTCCTAGGTATGAGGAAACTACTCAGGACTTTAGAAATAATTTGTGGTGACACTAATAAGTGGAGCATTATAGAATGAATTTTCACAATCTTTGAGGACATAGTCAGGTATTTGTCACACATAACACAACTTCATAGGGAAGTGCATGCATTTGAAATAAGTTATAAATTCCGTTCTGTATTCTATATTTCTACCAATACTCTTATTATCAGCAGAATGAAATAGATTATTATTCTCTCTAGTATAATATATTTTATGTATCTTTTAAAAGTTGGTGATAATTTTTGCAACAAATGAAATGTAATATTGTGTCTTAAGTTCTTTTAACCATCTACTTTCCTTAATACCACAATTCTGTCTTTTGGTTTTTACTTTTGCTTCTAAATAGTCCTGAATTCAGTTTAAAAACTCTTTATTTAAAAATACTTATTAGTTGTATAATAGAATATTAATGCTGTAAACTACCATAAAATGATTCTGTTCAATCCATTCATTAATAAGTGGCTACTTAGTTATATTAATATCCTCATAATAAAAGTATTTAAGCATACAATTTATACTGGAGATTGTTTAGTTCAAGACTTTGCCTGGGTATTTTTGGTAAACTGACAATTTTTCTCACCCCATGAATCTATTCTCTTTGTGCAATGAATAGATGTATTTGTATTGGCTGTCTTCACTAACTGAAACTTAGGCTCAGGAGAACAATATCTTACATATCACTCTTAAAATTTAGTTCATTTCCATTGAGAATTGTACCTTGTAATTCTAGAAAAAGCAGGCAGAGTATAGCTAACACTTTACTTTTGTTCATGGGAGAAGAAAATGTGCCTGGGTGATGCATTCTTTATTATGGTAACTATTAATAGACAACTGGAAATAGTTTAGTTTTCTAAATGTTTAGAAGAACTACTCTTACTGAAAATGTTGTCTACGGCATATTTATAAAATATAATTTTGGCTATAATTAGATACCACAGAGTGTATTCTTAAATATGCTATGCAAATGGTGGTTTTTTTTAAATTGGTTTACTTATAACTGAAAGTACTAGCACTTCCTTAGCAGTCTTAGGAATTGAAGCTTGAAGAAACCATTATTAACAATTCCTTTAATTTTCTTTTAAAGGGATTAAAAGAAAATTAATTTAAGTTTCAGGATAACTTCTTGTATTTTATTGTTTAGATTTTCTTCATATTTCAATCTGTAGGATGAAACATACAGATTGAAATATATATACATATATATATATATATATATATATATATATATCTTCTGCAATACATGTATCTTGCAGAAAAAGGGCTATATGCACGATCTTCTTGCCCAAAGATATATGATCTTACTGCTAGTGCCTGAAACTATTTTGACTATCAGACTGCATTAAAGCACTGAAATGACATTTATCCTTGGCAATAATCATCCATTAGAAGAAGAAAAAGACAAAATGTACATTTTTATTTTTGTATTATTTATTTATTTATTTATTTATTTATTTATTTATTTATTTATATAGTTTTTGAGACAGTCTTGTTCTGTCACCCATGCTGGAGTGCAGTGGCCTGATCTCAGCTCACTGCAACCTCTGCCTCCTGGGTTAAAGCGATTCCCATGTCTCAGCCTCCCAGGTAGCTGGGATTACAAGCATGTATTACCATGACCAGCTAATTTTTGCATTTTTAGTAGAAATAAGGCTTCTCTATGTTTGCCAGGATGATTTCTAACTCTTGGCCTGAAGTGATCTGTCTGCCTCAGCATCCCAAAGTCCTGGGATTATAGTCATTAACCACCACACCCAACCAGATTTTTTAACTTTTACTAACAGAGAAAGTAGTTGATACAACCTAGTGAGTATCTAAATTGTTAGTGGAAAACAGAATATAAGTTTAAAGGATTTAGAGGTAAAAGGTATCTTGTTACAATCCAAAATAAAACACTGGATTCAGAAAGAATGATTTGTAACCAAAAGTATCAATCTTCTCATTTTAGAAGTGCAAAAAATCCTAAGAGCTCATCAATTCCACTCTTCAATGTTTCAGACAAAATATCATCATTTGGCTATACATGTGCAGTTTTGTCATTTTGAATATTATTTGAACTAATTATTAACTCCAAGATGATTTCATACAACTGCTCAGTAAGCCATCTAGAAAATAAAATCCTAAGGAATGCTACCCTAAGGTAAATATAATAAAATAAATGATTCAACATGAAAATTAATTATAAATAAAAGGATTGGTTGTTCTCTTGGTGTGTGCATATTGTAACATTATTCAATATAGAAAAGTATCCAACATCTGTCTTTCTCATCATTCCTTTTTTCAGAGGTCTTAATGCAAAACAGAATAGGTATTATGCTGTTACACGCCTATAAAAGCACATGCATTGCAATTTTTGTTCGGTCACAGGCCTGTCAATAAGAAAAAAATATGTTGTAAAGAGTGTTCAGTGTTGTGGTGTGTGTGTGTGTGTGTGTGTGTGTGTGTGTTTAAATTAGCATATCTGCAAAGTGGATTTTGTTTTATTTTATTTTAGGTTTGGGGGTAAATATGAAGGTTTGTTGCCTAGGTAAACTCATGTCATGGTGGAGTTGTTGTACAGATTATTTCACTAGCCAAGTATTAAGCCCAGTGCCTAATAGCTATCTTTTCTGCTCCTCTCCCTCCTCCCATCCTTCACCCTCAATTAGACCCAGTGTCTGTTGTTCCCTTGTGTTCATGAGTTCTGATCATTTAGCTCCCACTTATAAGCGTAAATATGCAGCGTTTGGTTTTCTGTTCCTGTGTTAGTTTGCTAAGGATAATAGCCTCCAGCTGCATCCATGTTCCAGCAGAACATGTGATCTTCTTTTTAATGGCTGCATAGTATTCCATCATGCATATATGTACCATATTTTTTAAATCCAATCTGTCATTGACGGGCATTTAAGTTGATTCCATTTCTTTCCTATTGTGAATAGTGCTGCAACCAACATTTGTGTGCATGTGTCTTTATGATAGAATAATTTATATTCCTTTTGGTATTTACCCAGTAATGGGTCAAATGGCAGTTCAGCTTATTTAGCTCTTTGAGGAATTGCCATACTGCGTTCCACAATGGCTGAACTAATTTTACTCTCACCAACAGTGTATAAGTGTTTCATTTTCTCCATAACCTCACAGCATCTTTTATTTTTTGACTTTTTAATAATAACCATTCTGACTGGTGTGAGATAATATCTTACTGTGGCTTTTGTGTGCATTTCTATGATGATCAGTGACATTGAGCTTTTTCTCATATGCTTTTTGGCCATAAATATGTCTTCTTTTGAAAAGTGTCTGTTATGTCCTTTTCCCACTTTTTAGTGGGATTGTTTGTGTTTTTCTTGTAAATTTGCTTCAGTTCCTTATGGATGCTGGATATTAGATCTTTGTCCCATGTATAGTTTGCAAATATTTTCTTCCATTCTGTAGGTTGTCTGTTTGCTCTGTTGATAGTTTCTTTTGCTGTGCAGAAGCTCTTAAGCTTAATTAGATCCAACTTGTCAATTTTTGCTTTCGTTGGGATTGCATTTGTTGTCTTTGTCATGAAATTTTTGTTGGTTTTTATGTCCAGAATGGCATTGCCTAGGTTGTTTTTCAGGGTCTTTAATAGTTTTGGATTTTACATATAAGTCTTTAATTCATTTTGAGTTGATATTTGTATATAGTGTAAGGAATGGGTCCACTTCCAATCTTCTGCATATGGCTATCCAGTTATCCTGCAGCATTTATTGAATAGGGAGTCTTTTACCCATTGCTTGTTTTAGTCAGCTTTGTCAAAGATCAGAAGACTGTAGGTGTGTGGCCTTATTTCTGTGCTCGCTACTCTGTTTCATTGGTCTATATGTCTGTTTTTGTGTGAGTACCATGCTGTTTTTGTTACTGTAGCACTATAGTATACTTTGAAGTCAGGTAGCCTGATGCCTCCAGCTTTGTACTTTTTGCTTAGAATTGCCTTGGCTATTCAGTCTCTTTTTTGGTTTCAAATTAAATTTAAAATAGGTTTTTCTAGTTCTGGGAAGAATGTCATTGGTAGTTTGATAGGAATAGCATTGAATCTGTCAATTGCTTTGGGAAATATGGCCATTTTAATAATATTGATTCTTCTTATCCATGAGCATGGGATGTTTTTCCATTTGGTTGTGTCTTTGATTTCTTTGAGTAGTATTTTATAATTCTCATTGTAGAGATTTTTCACCTTCCTGATCAGCTGTATTCTTAGCTATCTTATATTTTTTTGTGGCAATTGTGAATGGGATTGCCTTCCTAATTTGGCTCTCGGCTTGGCTGTTGGTGTATAGTAGTCCTAGTGATATTTGTACATTTATTTTGTATCCTTAAACGTTGCTGAAGTTGTTTATCAGCTGGAGGAGCTTTTGCACAGACTATAAGATTTTCTAGATATAAAATTATACCATCTGCAAACACAAATAGTTTGATTTTCACTCTTTCTATTTGGATGCCTTTTATTTCTTTCTTGTGCCTTATTGCTCTGGCTAGAACTTCCAATGTTAGGTTGAATAGGAATTGTGAGAGACTGCATGCTTGTCTTGTGCCAATTTTTAAAAGGAATGTTTACAGCTTTTGCCCATTCAGTATGATAGTGTCTGAGTGTGTGTCATAGATTGTTCTATTATTTTGAGGTATGTTTTTTCAATACCTAGTTTGTTGAGAGTATTTAAAATGAAATGCTATTGAATTTCATCAAAAGTCTTTTCTGCATTTATTGAGATAATAATGTGGGCTTGCCTTCTGCTTATGTGATGAAATCACATTTATTCTTTTGCATATGTTGAACCAACCCTGCATCCTGAGGATGAAGCCTACTTGATCATGGTGGATTAGCTTTTTGATGTGCTGATGGATTTGGCTCATCAATATTTTGTTGAGGATTTTTGCATCTATGTTCATCAAGGATATTAACCTCATTTTATTTTTTGTTGTGTCTCTGCCAGGTTTTGGTCTGAGTATGATGCTGGCCTCATAGAATGAGTTGGGGAGGGGACCCTATGGCTCAATTTGTTGGAGTAGTTTCAGTAGTAATGGTATCAGCTCTTCTTGGTACATCTGATCGAATTTGGCTGTGAATTCAGCAGATGCTGGGTGTTTTGGGTTGGGAGGCTATTTATTACTGATTCAATTTCAGAGCTGATTATTGGTCTTTTTAGGGAATCAATTTCCTACTGGTTCAGATTTGGGAGGGTGTACGTGTCCAGGGATTTATCCATCTCTTCTACTTTTTCTAGTTTGCGTGCATAGAGTTATTCATTGTATTTTATGATGGTTTTTACTTCTGTAAGATCAGTGATAACATTCCCTTCATCATTTCTAATTGTGTTTATTTAGATCTTTTTTTTTCTTTTCTTTATTAGTCTAGCTAGTAGTCTATCTTAATAGTTTTTTTTTCAAAAGACAACTCCTAGATTTGCTGATCTTTTGATTGTTTTTGTATCTTGATTTCTTTCAGTTCAGTTCTGATCTTAATTATTTTTTGTTATCTGCTAGCTTTGTGGTTGATTTCTTCTTGCTTCTCTAATACTTACAGTTGTGATGTTAATCTGTTAATCTGAGATCTTTCTAAATTTTTGATGTGGTCATTTAGTTCTATAAATTTTCTTATTAACACTGCCTTATCTGTATCCCAGAGACTCTGGTATGTCGTATCTTTGTTCTCATTAGTTTAAAATAACTTCTTGACTTCTGCCTTACTTTTATTATTTACCCCAAAGTTATTCATGAGCATATTGTTTAATTTCCATGTAATTGCATAGTTCTGAGCAATTTTCTTACTCCTGACTTCTATTTTTATTTTGCTGTTGTCCAAGAGTATGTTTGGTATAATTTTGGTTCTTTTGCATTTACTGAGGATTGATTTATGTCCAATTGTGTGGTTGATTTTAGAGTATGTGTCATGTGGCAATGAGAAGAATGTATATTCTGTTGTTTTGGGGTGGAGAGCTCCACAGAGGTCTATCAGATCCATTTGGTTCAACATTGAATTCAGGTCTTGAATATCTTCTTTAATTTTTTGTCTTGAGGACCTGTCTAATACTGTCAGTGGAGTGTTGAAGTCTTCTGCTATTATTGTCTGGGGTTCTATGTCTCTTTGTAGGTCTCTAAGAACTTGCTCTATGAATCTGGGTGCTTCTGTGTTGAGTGCCTATATATTTAGGGTAGTTAGGTCTTTTAGTTGTACTGAATCTTTTATCATTATGCAATGCCCTTCTTTGTCCTTTTTTATCTTTGCTGGTTTGAAGTCTTCCTTTGTCTGAAAATACTTTTATTTCTTTTTTCAATTTTCTTAGTAGATTTTCCTCCTACCCTTTATTTTGAGCCTATGGGTGTCATTACCTGTGAGATGGTCTCTTGAAGATGGCGTAACATTAGGCCTTGCTTTTTTATCCAGTTTGTCCTTCTGTGCCTTTTAAGTGGGGGCATTTAGTTTGTCTTTATTAAAGATTAGTACTGACATGTGTGTATTTAATCCTGTCATTTTGTTGTTAGCTAGTTATTATGTTGGCTTGTTTGTGTGGTTGCTTTATAGTGTCACTTGTCTGTGTGTTTAAGTGTCTTTTTGTATTAGCTGGTAGCATTCTGCCATTTGTATATTTAGCACTCTTTTCAAGACCTCTTGTAAGGCATGTCTGGTGGCAACAAATTGCCTCAACATTTGCATGTCTAAAAAAGATCTTATTTCTCCTTTGTTTGTGAAGCTTAGTTTGGCTGGATATGAAATTTGTTGTTAAAGATATTTTTCTTTAAGAATGTTGAATATAGGTCCTGAATTTCTTCAGGCTTGTAGGGTTTCAGCTGAGAGGTCTGCTGTTATATTGATGGGGTTCCCTTTGTAGGTGACCTGCCCTTTCTCTGTAGCTGCTTTTAGGATTCTTTCTTTCAGCTGGGCATGGTGGCTCACGCCTGTAATCCCAGCACTTTGGGAGGCCATGTCGGGCGGATCACAAGGTCGGGAAATCAAGACCATCCTGGCTAACACATTGAAACCCTGTCTCTACTAAAAATACAAAAAAAAATTAGCCAGGCGTGGTGGTGGGTATCTGTAGTCCCAGCTACTGGAGAGGCTGAGGCAGGAGAATGGCATGAATCCGGGCGGCAGAGCTTGCAGTGAGCCGAGATCGCGCCACTGCACTCCAGCCTGGGCGATAGAGCAAGACTCCGTTTCAAAAAAAAAAAAAAAAAACTAAACTAAAATAAATAAATAAATAAATAAATAAAAAGATTCTTCTTTCATTTGACCTTGAAAAAATCTAATGACTGTATGTCTTGGAGATGATCTTGTGTAGAATCTTGTGGGAGTTCTCTGTTATTTTATGAATTTGACTCTTGGCCTCTCTAGCAAGGTTAGGGAAGTTTTCATGGATGATATCCTGAAATATGCTTTCCAAGTTGTTTCTTTTAATTCCCCTCCCCTTCAGAAAGGCTAATGATTTATAGATTTGGCCTCTTTACATAATCCCATATTTCTTGGAGTTTTTGTTTATTCCTTTTTATTATTTTTGTCTTATTTTTGTGTGACTGTCATATTTCGGAAAGCCAGTCTTCAAGATCTGAGATTCTTTCTTCAGTTTGATTTATTCTACTAATACTTGTGATTGCATTGTGAAATTTTTTATTGTGCAATTCAGCTGTGCCAAATTTGTTTTTGGTTCTTTGCTATTACAGCTATTTTCTCCTTCAGCTCCTGTATTGTTTTATTGTGACTTTTAGTTCCCTGGTTTGGGTTTTACCATCCTCCTGAATCTTCATAATCTTCATACCTATTCATATTCTGAATTCCATGCCTGTCATTTCTGCCAGCTATTGGTTGGCAGAAAGCCTGGTTATGAAGTCCTATGAAGCCTGGTTATGAAGTTGAAAAACTGGTGTGGCAGTTTGGAGGACACACGACACTCTGACCACTTGAGTGACTGGAGTTCTTGTGTGTACTGCCATCACTTAGGACTATTTAGAAAACATCTGCTTTAAGAACCTAAAACATCTTTTCCTAGGAGTGAAGAACCAAAGACAAATTGTAAAATAGTCCAGTTTTGTCTTGAGAGCATTATTCCTTGCAACTGTGTGATTTTATTGATCTTTGTTTGTCTCTGTCTTAGTAAGTTTGGGCTGCTACAAAAAATATCATAAATTGGGCATTTTATAAACATCAGAAATTTATTTCTCACAGTTCTGAAGATTTGGAAGTTCAAGATCAAGGCACTCATCGATTTAGTGTCTGGTGAGGGCCTGCTTTCTGGTTCATAGGTGGTGCTTTCTCTCTGTGTCCTCATATTTTGGAAGGGAAGAGCGATTTCTTTGGTGTCTTTTTATAATGGCACTAATGACCTAATTACCTCCTTTGGGGGTTGGTATTTCAACATGTGAATTTTGAAAACATTCAGACCATAGCAGTCACTTGTCAAGACTTTGTTGATGAAGGAAGCAGTATTTTACTTTACATTCTTTACATACAGACAAACACTCCTTAGATTTAGAGAAATTGCCCATTGAATCCTTTCAGATAGTATAAGTAGACCCCTAACAGTAATGGCTACTTTTTGTTTTTCCATTTTTAACTAAAGATCCCAAATCTCAGGTAGGTAATCTAGTCTGCCTTTCTTGCTTCACTTTTCTTTCTTCCTTTCTTTCTCTTTCTTTCTTGCTTTCCTTTCTTGCTTGCTTTATTTTTTTCCTTCTTTTTTTTTTCAAGACAGGGTCTTGCTCTGTTGCCCAGGTTGGAGTGCAGGGGCACAATCACAGCTCACTGCAACCTCTTCCTCCTGGGCTCAAGCGATTCTCCCATATCAGTCTCCCAAGTAGCAAGGACTACAGGTACAGGCCATCATGCCTGGCTAATTTTTGTATTTTTTGTAGAGATGAGGTTTCACTCTGTTGCCCAGGCTGATCTAAAACTCCTGAGCTCAAGCAATCTGCCTGTCTCAGCCTCCCAAATTGCTGGGATTACAGATATCAGCCACCGTGTCTGGCCTATTTATTTATTATTGTTTAAAAAATGAAATCTCACTGTGTTTTCCAGACTACACCACAGTGGCTATTCACAGATGCAATCATAGTGCACTGCAGCCTCAAACTCTTGGCCTCAAGCAATCTGCCTTAGCCTCCCAAGCAGCCGGGACTATAGGCACGCATCACCACCTCCAGCTTATTTATTGAATCTCTGTTTATCATAATATTATTTTTGCTTTGTTATATGATAAAAGTATTAACAATATCATATTTTTCTATATTCCAATGAATTTTATATATTTATAATCTTATTTTATTCTCTCATTAAAGGTGGACAATAGGTTGTTTAGTTTTTATATCACCATTTGAGACAAAATGAAATTATAGATATTTCTTTCAACTCAAACTTATATCCATGTTGGGGGGACAGTCTCTTACACATTATTATGGATGAGGAAAATGTCTAAATGCTGCTCATGGATGAAGTGCCTTGGTGTACTGGTGCAAATAAAAAATGTATTGCTACTTCATTTCACACTCAGGGGTGGCTCTGAAAAGTGGGGCTGAAGCAAAATCCTCCCACTATGCTGAGCTTTAGGTGTTGTACCTAGCCATTATGTTTTGCTAAATAGAAGCACCTCACACTAATTATATACATGAAATAGCAGGGAATGATAAATGGCCTGGATAGCTGCATATTATCTTTGAAGGGGAACGATAGGATGGTGAAGGATAAAGAGGTGTGAGGAAGAGTTATTCAGTTGTTCATACGTGAGTGGGCACAAAGTATGATGATCTTTGATTCACATGTTAACACACCAATAACTATTTAACATGGCAGAAGAATTAAAGAGCCATACAGATACAATAACCCATCCAACTGATTTCAATCTGCCTCTTTCATCAACTGTCAGAGTATGAATAAAATTGCCATGATTGCCAGGGGTGGAGCCTATGCATATTGAAACAGCTTAGCCTTCTGTTTTCCAAGATGAATTTAGCTGTCGTTATTGTCAAATGTCAAAACTTGCAGAAACATAAATCAATACTGATTTCCTAACTGGACATCATTTTTTGAGGAGGCCAACTTATCATTTAATGGTTAGTTCATTACATCAGATACTTTATACCCTGAAAAAGCAGTGCAGTTGACCTATGAAGAATGTGGGGGTTAGGGGTATTGAAGCTCCTACTTAGTTAAAAATCCACATACATCTTTTGATTCCCCAAAAATGTAACCACTAATAGCTTACTGTTGACTGGAAGCCTTAACTGATTACATGAACATTGATTAACATATATTGTGTATGTTATATGTATTATATACTGTATTCTTACAATAAAGTAAACTAGAGAAAAGAAAATGTTATTAAGAAAATTATAGGGAAGAGAATATGTATTTACTTTTCATTAAGTGGAAGTGGATAATCTTAAAGGGTCTTTATTCTTATATTCACAATGAGTAGGATGGAGAGAAAGAGCAAGAGGAAGGGTGGATCTTGCTGTCTCAGTGGTGGGAGGTGGCAGAGGGCAAAGAAAATTAGTGTATAAATGGACTCATGCAGTTCAAACCTGTGTTGTTCAATGGCCAACTGTAATTATCATTAACTGGGATAAACACGATACATATTCCAGATATGGGTTAGCTTTTCCTATTAATACTGTCATAGCAGAACCATAATCTAAGCTCTTATAAAATGTTGTATCTCAGCTGTGATGTATTGGCAACCCAAACCCCCTGAACTAGAGTGTCTCAGTCTGAAGGGGACATCATTATATGGTATGATGTCCAGCAAGACCAAACAAACACTTCATGGCAGAAGAAAAATTACAGCTGGCACATGACCATCGGATCTGGTAGTCATATCATAATGGCCAGAAGCCTGTAGCCTGATGAGCTAATGTAAGGCTTTCTGACCTCTGTACTACGGAAATTTTGGATCAGATAATTTTTATGTGTTAGTGGGTTTTACAGTGTTTTATAGTATATTTATTAGAATTACTAGATCACAAAATCTGCTCACTAGATTTCAGGGTCACCCTAACCCAATTGTGAAAACCAAAAACATTCCCAGACATTGCTAAATGTACCCTGCGGGATTGTGGAAGGAATGGCAAACTGACTCCCGTGTGTGTATGTATATATATATACATACACACACATATATGTGTGTGTACATATATATATATACACACACATATATATACACACACACATAAATATATATATGTATACATCATATATTCTAATAGTCTTCCCACTGTGGATACAGAATCACATAACATTAATTGACTTATGTATATGTGTGATGTGTGTGTGTGTGTGTGTATATACACACATATAAATATATATGGGTAGAATATTAGAATATATGGGTCCAGGAACCAGAGAATATAGGAATGGCCCTAGTTACTATCTTACCCACTGACTTACTTGAATAATTTGTGACTCTGGACTCTATGGGTTTACTCTGGCTCCCAGAGTAAACATAACTCTGTTGAAGAGTGTATTAGTCCATTTTCACACTGCTATAAAGATACTATCTGAGACTGGGTAATTTATAAATCAAAGAGTTTTAATTGGTTCACATATCCACATGGCTGGGAAAGCCTCAGGAAACTTACAATCATGGCGAGAGGTGAAGGAGAAGCAAGCGCCTTCTTCACAAGGCTGCAGGAGAAAGAGAGAGAAGGGGAAACTGCCATCTTTAAACCACCAGATTTTGTGAGCACTCAATATCATGAGAACAACATGGGAGAAAGCGTCCCCATGAGCCAATCACCTCCCACCAGGTCCCTCCCTGAACACGAGGGGATTACCATTCGAGATCAGATTTGGGTGGGGACACAGAGCCATATCAAAGAGTATAGTAAAAGCCCCATTAAGCTTTAAGCTAGTGTTACACTGGGTTCCTCAGGCAGTAAGACTAACAAGAAAGCAAGGAGTCACCATTGTGAAAGGGATAATGAACTCAACATTAGGAAGAGGCAGGACTGAGGTAATAAAATTAGAACACAGAAGAATGAGTTTTATACCCAGATCATCTATTTGGATATCTCTTGGTAAGTTTTCACCCAATTTTGAAGATAAAAAGACAAATATAGTAGGATATGGTGACCGGGGTCTGACCTCCTCAGGGATGAAAGTCTAGATTACTCCACACATTAAGCTACCTAGACAGCAGATGTGCTAACCAAGAGTGGAAGGAGCCTAGAATGATTTACAGAAGAAGGAGGTGATGAATATTCACTGTGATCCTGAGAACAGCTATAGTGTAGGCCTGAAACTAATCTTCTTCAGATGTTTCTCAGGAAAAGAGATTAATGAGAATTCTGAATGAGCTGTTTTTCCCAGATCCTATGAATTTACCATATGAAACAAGTGAACATGGGCAGCATGCTGGGTGGACTGTGGTACACAACCCAGATTTGCCCTTCAGGACTGAGGCACATGAGCTCTAGGGGTTTGGGTTGCCAATAGCCCAGAGCTCAGAGCATAGCAGAAAATTGCACTTAGCCAAAGAGAGCTGCTTCACCCTAAGTTTCACACTCTATCTAGGGCCAAACTGCATCCAATAACTGGTCAATGTGAGGGTACAAAGATTTTTCCCCCTTGCCTCAACTTGGGACAAGTTTTAGGAGCCACCCCAGCTTCAGTGCTTCTCCTAAGATGAACTGTGACCTCTTTTTCAAATGCATTCGAGTGTAACTTCTGCCCAGTTCTGCTTCCTTCACTCCCTTACAACAGTTTTTCCCAAGAACACTGTCTTTCCTAAATAAAAGCTCCTCCTCCCAACTTTACTATGAGAAAGATAACCTAAGACATGGATATACATCAGAATATTTCTTTCAAGTCACACCGAATAATTTGTCTATGTGGGGTAAAAAAGGGGTGTGTTTTATACAAAAAAGTTGGAATTGGGCCTCCAGTGTTCAAACTAAGAAGTATATTACAATTGTAGTTAAGAGTTTCTCTAACAATAAAAGGAAAAAAATTTAACATAAAATATTGTATAATCATCAAGGTCTGAAGTTAGAGTGCCAATTATAATAACTTTCCTCTGACATCTAACTGAAATGAGGTAGAAATTGTGAATTACTAATTTGTTATAAAAGATTGTTCCCTGAATCATGCCTTGTAGGTACTAACTCAGTTTTTACTCTGTGTTGAGTCTCTGTAAATAGGGAAGCAAAATTGAAATATATCCAAGTATAAGTAAGAATAAGAAATGGTTGAGCATCTCACTTGTATCAATAACAGACTCTCTTAATTCAATATTTACCTATAGTTTTTATTACATTGAATATGTATTTGTACTTCTGAAATATTTGAATATATATATATATACGTTAGAAATAAATCATATCATTTTTGAAAAAAATTAGCATTTTAATATAATGAGGGAGAGGTATATTATTCACACTTTAAGCTAAATTTTGAAATTTATTTCTCTCCTACAAATCTCTATAGTTTAAAATATTTTATGCTTGCAAAATGAATTTCGAAACCTGTGGATCTCAAACTCAATTATCTTAAAATTGATCCTAAACATGGACAATTGAGATCACTATGAGTCCAATGCAAGAATTTTCAGATATTGATAATGTGGCTCAGAATTATTCAAACGTATTTACTTTCCCCAGCAAAGAATTGTCCTGAGTGCTTTTGGAGGTATTTGTAAACTACATAAATGAAGAAAGCACTATATTTCTTCACACATTAACATGCGGAATGTAGTAACATGTTACAATGGAATTTCCAAAATTGTTCCCAATAATCATTTATTATATCTAAATCATGATTGTACTATTCTTTTGAATAAATTAAAAGGTATACTTATAGTTAAAAAATAAATGTAAGTAGAATTGAACACACAAACATTCAAAGAAGTAATTGAGCATAGCAAAACTCAGTCCATTATCTGAAGTTGGCAAGGATATTTCATTTCATACATCATTTAGAGACTAATAAAAATAAAAGTTTGTTTTCAACAAGTATCTATGCCAAGGTGCACAGAGCAGGTGAACCCTTTAGTCCCAGCAGGGATATGTTCACATTTGACTGAGCTAATATCCTTTACTTTCTGTAAGCTCACAAATGGGAAAACACAAACAACAGAAATATTTACTTTATTTTAACAATGAATCAATTTTCATTTCATTTGAAGGCTCCATAATAGATTTAACAGTACATAAACTAGACACTAGAATATAATAAATCGTTTGTTGCCAATATTTAAATTCATAATTACGTTGCTTTGGGAGACAATTTAAAAATAAAATAAATGGAAAAAAATGGGTTCAGTGTCCTAGAAAGCTAAGTCAATATCAAACCTTGGTTACAAACCAGAATTGCAAATTACATATGAGGTATAAGATAGAAATAATTCTTGAAGCACATTAATTACTTGTAACAATATTGGACAAACTACCTAAGATACCCATCTTTTTCAAATGTATCTATATTATCAAAGAAGAAGTCAATTAAGAACGCTTTAGATTAACCAGGTCATCTAGGACCCTGGTGCAGTATAAAAAAAAAATCTAAGTCCTTGTCTTAAAATACTTGTAATTTAAAATGGAAGATTTATGTAAGCATTTAAATATCAAAATTATAGATAAAGAAACTTAGAGATGATAGACAGGTAGAGAGAGAGATGATAGATGATTGATAGATAGATAGATAGATAGATAGATAGATAGATAGATGGATATGGGTGTTATTGAATATGTACTTTTCAGGCAACTTTCTAAGCAATTTAAATTTTTAACTTAAGTCCTCACCAAATCCTGCGTTGTTACTAGTATTTAATAAATGAAGAACTTGAGATTAGGAAAAGTTAGCAAATTTGATAAAATTCCAATTGTTAGGAAGTGATGGGTAAGAAAGTCCAACACAGGCCTGCTTGCCTGCCTTCAAAGCCAAAACTCAACTGTTACGCATGCTACATTTCCTGTCTTTAAATAGGATGTTACTTTTACTGCTAAAATGCTGAAATCACTTGAAAGAAACCTCATATAATTTTTTGGAGATCTTTACTATGCCCCCAGAATCTGGGTAGCTCAGAGGTACAGTGTGGAGCTCTGCATTGCTTCCTAAGCACACCACGTAATTTTGTTACAGACGGTCCATCATCCACAGTATGACAGCACTTACAGAAATCCCCCATGGCTATAATTTAAGGCAAAGGTAAAATATCTGTTGCTAAAGGCAAATAAACATCACAGGGAATTAACTTCACTTTTGCTTGCAGCTCAAGCTGTCTCAATCTAAGATAATAAAGAAGAGTAATTAAAATGACATGATCTACAAAATCAGAAGCTAGCTTTTCATGGCTTTTCTCACATGAAAAGCCATAATTCACATTGCAGCTATTCAGTCTGTTTTCACCTTCTCTTCAGGATGCCAGCAGCAAATTAAAAAAAAGAAATTATTCTGAAATGATTTTAGATGTACATGAAATTGTGAGAAATGATATGGAGAAGAGCTGTATACCTCTCAAGAAGTTTCTCTCAATTGCCACATTTTGCATAACTGTAATATAATATCACTACCATAAAATGAACATCGATCGACTGACTATATTCAGATTTTGCCAAATTTACATGCCTTCATGTGTCTGTGTGTTTGTATCTAGTTGTATAAAATTTTATTTCATGTATAGATTTTTTGTGACTACTATCACAGTCACAAAGTTTTCCTCACAATTGTAACATTATTTTTATATAATTGTATAATCGTATGTGTACATATACCACATCAAACTCTTATAGCCACAGCCACATCCTTCCCTGCCCCGTGCCACTAATCTGTTTTCCATCTCTATGTTATTGCTGTTTTCAGAATGTTGTATAAATGTAATTACAGGAATACAACATTTTGAGACTGTCTTTTTTCATTCAGCATAATTCCCTTGAGATTCATTCAAGTTGTTGCTGTATCAATAACTTCTTGGTTTTTTAAATGTATTTTTGATCTTTTTAATTGACATAAAGTTGTATATATTTATCACAAGCAACATGGTGTTTGAAAGTATGTATATGTCATGAAAAGACTAAATTTAGCTAATTAACATATGCAGTACCTCACATAATTATCATTTTTGTGGTAGAAAATTTTAGTTATATAGGAGGATTAAGTTCAAGATATCTAGTATACAACATGGTGATCATAGTTAATAATAATTTATTGTGATTTTTTATTGCTGAGTAGTATAGTATAGTATGTATGTATCACATTTTGTTTAACTTTCACCTGTTGAAGGCTATTTGGGTTGTTTCCACTTTGGAGCTATTACAAGTAAATTTGCTTTGAACATTAATGTACAGATTTTTGTGAGCCTGTTTTCATTTATCTGTAATAAATGCCCAGGAGTGTGATTATGCTGGTTTTTACAGCATTTTCAATTTCATTTTTTTAAAGAAAATGCCAAACCGTTTTCCAGATAGACTATATCCTTTTTACATACCACCAGTAATGTAAGAGTGATGCAGTTTTTCTTTATCTTCTTAAGGACTTGATCTTATTTCCATGTTTTATGTTAGCTATTCTGACAGATGTGTAGTGACATTTCATTGTGGCTTGAATTAGCATTTTCTTAATAGGTAAGGATGTTGAACACTGTTTCATGCAATTACTTGCCATTAGTGAAATGTCTTTTTCTATATTTCCCATCGTTTGATTTGATAATTTCTGTATTTACTCTTGAGGTTTAAGAGTTCTTTATATATTCTAGATATAAGTCTATCGCTGGATATGTGATTTGTAAATATTTTTCCCATACTGTTCCTTGATTTTCTTCCTGTTTACAGGGCCATTCAGAGAGTAAACGTCTTTTTAAAAATGAAGTCTATTCATTTTTTTTCCTTTAATGGATTGCAAGCAGCTAATTTTATTTCATGAGTTATTATCCCCAAAGTGAGAAAAGACCTTGTGCCAATCATTCTCCTTGCTGATATGTAAAAGAAGCAGTGAGATTATTTTAGGAATGGTTTTCTCCTAATCATACTAATGAAATGAAATTTTTAAAACGTGTTGTGAAAAAAAAGTCCTGTCAATATTGCCCTGTTCTATAATGACTTGTAATGGATTCTAGTGTAATCTACCCTATAAAACTTTATTCTTATGAATACCCACCTTATATATTATTTCTCCATATTTTCTAGCCTAGAAAACTAAAGAACCTACTAGAATAAAGAAGTAGGTCACTTAAAGAGCCCCGAATTAAGTGAATCACTTGTATTTTGGGGGAATTAAAGCTAATTGTCTCCAAAGCATTACATATCACTGTAATTACTAATACTTCTTTATTTAGGAAATGTAAAATCAGGCAACATCTGAAAGATATTTTCATGTCTCCCAGGAAAATTTTAACAGAAAGCTATACGTTATCCTTGACACCAGTCTTCCCCTAAGTCTAGTTCATTCTCTACAGTGTTACCAATGTTATATTCATAAAAATTAGATCTGATTGATACTTCCTTACTTAACCACTTCTGTTGATACCCCTTTGCTGACAGAATACATTTAAATCCTACGAAATGACAAGTGGGTCCCTTGCAACTCAGGAAATGCACCATATTTATCTAATGGCTCAAATAAAAAGCCAAGAGTCATTCTTGATTTTTAAAAATGCCGTCAATTCCTACATTCAGTTATTGAAAAATTATTATTAACACTACTTGCAAAACGTATTTCAAACCTATCCACCTCTATCTGTCTTCATGGGACACATAGTCCAAGGCATCATTATCTCTTTCCTACACTGCAGCCACAAGTCCTTTAATTGGCAACTTTTGTCTCCCTAAAACCTACAGGGATTGATCTCTTTAAAATATGAAATCAGGTCAACTACACCCCTGCTGCATTTCTTCCAGTGACTTTTCACTATGCAGAAGATTAAAGCCAGTCTTCTTACTAGCCTGAGAGTTTCTCCATGACCTGGCTTCTGCTTATCTCTCTGCCATCTCTTAGCAACTCCATTCTTTGTCACTCTCTGTCAGCAAGGTTTAGCCGGACTGGTCTTTTTTTTTTTTTTTTTTTCTTTTTAAGCTCACTTTTTTTTCAGATGCTGTTCCTCTGCCTGAAGTGTCTCTCAGCACTTAGTGAACCCAAATGTCATCTCCTCAGACAGGTCTTTTTTAACTCCTATCTGATGTTGCCCACATCCATTCCACTTGTTTGCTGTCATAGGAGCTAGCTTCTCTTTCTTTTTAAAAATGTAGCACTGCCTGGAATAACTTAACTTGTTTATTGTGAAATATCCACATAAGAATGTTAGTCCCTTAATAGCATACAATGTATCTCTCTTTTTCACTGCTCTATTTCCAGAAGCTGGGTGGTACCTGGAATATAGTATGTACTAACTGAATATTTATTTAAAAAAGCATTAATTTATCTATCTATATAACTAAATCTATCAAATATTCTTTAAAACATGAACCAAAGTTAATCTGAAACTCTTCCTGTGAAAAAAGTCATGTATTATATGCCTTCAACACAGAATTTGTCATTATTTCCTGTGGCATTATACTATGCCCTTTGTCATATGCTTTTTTTCCCATAGAGCATTTTTTCCCATAGAACTTTGTATTCCTTCACTTCCACCACCTTTCTTTGAAGAACTCTTATTTACCATTTCTTGGACTAAATTAGGAAAAATATTCCGTGATCTTACAAGGTTTGAAATGCTAATCAGAAAATGTCAACTTCAGATTTTTTTAAAAAAATCAGTATCTCAGCTCTTTAGCTGCTTAAGAGTCAAAAGGTACATCATTATATTATAATATACTCATATTCATCAGGCTGAAATTTATTTGTCATGTTGTGACATGTCTTTCAAATTCATATTTGAAGAAGTTTCACCTGTCAGAATTTAGTTGAGGAAGGGGTGAAGGCATTTGAAGAGTTTTCAAGCTCTGAAGTTCTTCTTAGTCACAGCTCATTGCTTGTAACCTTATTTCTCACTGGGCATGCATTTTTGTTACCCTCCCTCTTTTTATTTTAGTGCCAACCTGGTGGGCCAGCTGTCCCACCATCATTTAAATTAGGGTACCACCATCCATGCAGTAGAGATGTGAACACAGAAAAAACACTCTTTTTAAATATCAGTGTTAGAAAGAATGAGATATTTATAAGAATGAATAAGGAAGTAAAGAAACTTGGTTTTTAAAAATTGTTAAGTGTATAAATATATTTTTGAGAGCAGAGTACCTTATGTCAGCAACCTGCTTTACTTGGAGAAAACCTTTGACAGTCTTTATGCTTTGGTTGCCTAATAGTATTCTGTCAGGAGTAAATTGGGTTTCTGGTAACACATTTGCTTTAAAACAGCATAAAACCTAATGACCATGTCAAGCTATGTTTGCCAGGATAATTGCTTAAATTTGGATTTCTGATTCTCTTGCTCAATCAAAGGCCATGCATTGAATGTTGGCAGACCAGACAATGAACTTATTTCACATTTTGTGGATAGATACAAACTGAGTCACAGGCTTCTCTCCTTTCAGACCTCTGATTATTTTAGCAGTGATAATGACCCCAGCATTTTCCAACCTGATACTGCATTACAGAGCACAAAACTTACAAACTATAGTATGAAAAATGTTAGGGATAAACCAACTTAAAGATGGCTTTTTGGGGGGAATAAAAGACTTACTAGCTATGTGCTAGACTCGGTTTTTAATAAAAACTATTATTATACGTTAGAGGAAAAAAGTTACATTTGGATGCTAGCAGATGTTAAAAACGTGAACCTATTTGACCTCAGTTCCTAAAAAGGTATCTTTTCTCTTCTTGCATTTATTCTCAGAATTATTAATACTTCCTTTGTACTTTCTGTTACATCTTCCACCATTCTTCCTTTGTTTTTAATTCCATGTTTTTTTTCAGTAACATTTATATTTGTCATCTAGTGTACATTTACAAAGTATGATTTTATGTCATGATTTCTGTTTTAAAGAAGCATATTTAAAGTCAGCCTAAAGGTTTGAGGCAAGCTTCAATTCTAGCTCTGTCATTGTGCCTCTAAATTTTTTCTTTAACATTTACTGGCTCATAGGAATTATTTCTTTTCCTGGGTTGGAAATATGACCTCACCCATACAGCCTACAAATGTACATATTCAGTGACATGTTTCCAATGTTTCTCTTCACTTAGTTGATTTTAAATCATCCGATATACACACTCCTGTTGCCTCCTCCATCTCAAACACAAATAAGCACCCCTTTGCATATATTGCTACCAGTCATTTTTTGTTTATTCCAACCTAAGCAATGTTTCATGTTTTTTTTTCCCTTTAGCTCTAATATAGAATCATCTCCCATCGATATTTTGATTATTCTTTTGATGGTACTTTGCTTTCATTTTTAGAAGTCTCACCACAGGGAGCAAAAGCATTTCCCATGTAAAATTATATAAAAACATGGATAGAGAAAATGAAAACAAGTGGAGCTCAGAATCACGTTCATAGAAAATTAGTTCCTTGAAGAAAACAACTTATTTAGGATCTCAGCGACTTACATCTAGATTCCCGTAATAGGATCTTACTAATAGTTTAACATTTATTTTGTCTTTAAACATGAAGAGGAAGAAGAAGAAGACAAAGAAGAAGAGGAGGAGGAGGAGGAGGAAGAAGAGATCAAATATTACATGGAGGAAAGTCTTTGGTTCACTAGGGCCCAAGGCTGGTTCTTAAAATTTGCAGATTCAAAAATTCTGTCAGTGTGTCTAGAGATTGTTTTGGTAATGATGCTTGTCAAATCAAGAAGACAGGAACTATTATGTTCATTAAACATGCATATTTATTGATTTACAAAACCCACGTATCAGCTAGATTACTTTCTGCCTCTTATTAATCTGGTTAACCCTGGCTAGACCACCAAACACAAAGTTTGTGACTGTCAAAATAATTTTTCTTTTTTTTCCTTTCATATTAATTCACTGACTTCCACAGGTTTTTCTGCTCTCTTTAATATGTGAGTATTGCTTTTATTCTACCTATGCTATTCTAATAAGTACTACTTCTTCACCATTTCCACAAACACTTCCAACATTTAGAGGCCTTGATACCGTTATTGAAAATGTGGTCTGTGTGCGTGTGCGAGACGGGAAGCCGGGTGGGGGGCGGTCTCGTGCTCATGTGTAGGAGTGAATGGTGTTGGAGGTCATGAGGAAGATGTGTGGATTTCTCAACTAACTAAGCCCCAGTTAACTGGGGATTCGAGAGACAATGTCCTCCTGTCTTATAATATTATATTGTCTCTCTATTCCTTATTTTGGCCCTCATCTGGGTTTTTTTCTTTTCTTTTCTTTTCTTTTTTTTTTTCTTGGTTTTTTTGAGACGGAGTCTCGCTCTGTTGCCCAGGCTCTGCTCACTGCGATCTCCGCTCACTGCAACCTCCGCCTCCCGGTTTAAGGGATTCCTCCTGCCTCAGACTCCCGAGTAGCTGGGACTACAGGCTCCCGCCACCACACCCGGCTAATTTTTGTATTTTTAGTAGAGACGGGGTTTCACTATGTTGGCCAAGATGGTCTTGATCTCCTGACCTTGTGATCCGCCCGCCTCGGCCTCCCAAACTGCTAGGATTACTGGCCTGAGCCACCGTGCCCGCCCGGCTTTGTTGTGTTCTAACCTATGGCTCAAGTTCTTATCAAAATGTATTTTCCTACAAAAACTTTAATTTCTCAAAAAGAATTTCAGTAAATGTCAAAAACAATGCTTCTAGATACTAATGAATTTGAAATAAAAAGAGGGAATTTGATGGTCTTAAGAAATTTGTTGCACCAATCTGATAAGTGCTCCCGTGTTCTGGTGACACTAATGCCTACCAGATGGTGTCTTTTTCCCTTTGACAGTTTTCCTGAAAAATTGATATTTAATTCCTGCTCTTGTAGCATGTGTACATACCTCAGCACATGCCTCTACTTCTTTTCACTTGACATATTTTTCCTCCGGAAACACCAAGGTGTGTTCCAGCACTGAGGATACTCTTATTTTCATCCTGATATTTTCCAGTTCTCTGCATTTACACAATTGTATACATTGTTTTGTGATAGATGACTGAATGAAATAGCAACACTCCTTCATTATATATTATTATTCATTTAAATATCACAAGGCAATTCATTTTCAATCTCTAGAGTAAATTCTTGTAATTTTTTCTGTGCAGACAACACCATAGCTTCTTCAGGCATTATTTTAAACTTTCTTTTCCACAGAAAACCCTAGCAATGGCTCTTCATGGCTTCTTATATTAAATCACATCACAATACCATGAATCCACAATGATAATATGCAGAATATGTTCCAGAAAACATTTTCTCAAAAATATAATGAGCATGTTCCTGACATTATTTGTAATCATCAGAAAAAAATATTGTTGCCATATAATAAAATTGCTATTTTATATGTGGTATGTATTATGTGTGCATGTATGTATGTATTTATAGCCTACCTTACATTTCCTAAAGTGCATTTATATGCTATTGAAAAATAGTTTACTTGTTTACCTGTAGCTCTGGGAATCAAGATAACAAGGTCTACATTATAGATTTGTTTGACCAGTTTTAAACCATTGAAACATTCTACCAGAAAAACAGTCATACTCCAATTCTCATTTTCTAATCTTTCTTTGCATCTCTTCTCTGTACTTGAAGCTTTCTTTGAAGTGGGTGTAAGGGATATAAAGGTTAACAGGAGACAGAAAACCTAATGCTTTAAAGTTCACTTATCATTTATCCAACATAAATTCTCAAGAAAAGACAGCTCACTGAATGCTTATCAGTCATTCCTATTGTTTGATATCTTGGCACCCAATTAACTAGGGATTCAAGAGTTCAGCTCAACTTCAAAAAAAAGAAAAATAAGATTTCTTTCTTTTTTTAACTGTACTTGGGACACTGTCCTATAGATATCTATTTTATAACATCATATGTATGCGTTTTTAAAAATTTCAATTTTATTAGCTTTGTGAAAATTAAACGTCTGAACTAATGGTACCTAGTGATACTCACAGTAGCCTTAAGGTAGAAGTGAAGTATTTGTAATAGAGGCCAAGCCGGGCAACCCAGCTGGTGTGAGTAAGTTCAATAACTAATATCTTCAGTTCCATGAGCTTCAAGGTCTAATTAATGCCTGTGAAAAATGAATATTTCCTGGAGATTCACTTGCTTGAAATAATTCAATCCCTCAAAGCTATTAAGAATGGGTAATCTCAGTTGGAGCAATGGGTCAAGGGACCATAATGTCAGTTTTCATTGTTCGATTTAATTAATTTAGAAGTCCTACACTTGTTGAACAAAACTACTAGGTGAAATGTAATCAGTTGTAATGTTTATTATTACTGACATATTTTATTTACTTGAGATTTTCATGTTCCCTATACATGAGTGTCAGGATTTTTTCTTTCTCATACTTCTCCAGAGGAGTCTGCTAGTCCCATCTTGGACTTATCCTTTTGAGTGTTTTTGTGGCCAGATTTCCAAGGAGGATACATGGAGCATGACACATATTAATGAATGGTTTACTTATGGATATGTCCTATTTCCAGTATTTTCAGTATATTTAAAATGGAACCTTTCTTGTGCCAAGAAATGATTATGATAGCTAGTAGACTTGGATCTTTGTTCCAATTCTGCACAGTTACTCCTTCCTGAAACAAAATGTGTCAACCCAGATACTGCACTTTAATATGGCTTCTTTAGTGTCCTTATGATACCTCCTGGGTCCCAGAAAAGAAATCCAACAATAATTCTCGAGTATACACTAATTTATATACTGAACCTAAGTATGATTTGATTAATAGGGTCGGCATACAACTAACAGCATGTTTTTTGTTTTTGTTTTTGTTTGATGTTGTTGTTGTTTTGTTTTTTGAGACCGAGTCTCACTCTGTTGCCCAGGCTGAAGTGCAGTGGCACCATCTCGGCTCACTGCAACCTCTGTGCCCTGGCCTCAATGATCCTCCCAACCTCAGCCTCCCAGGTAGCTGGGAAAACTGGCGTGTGCCACCACATTCAGCTATTCTTATTTATTTATTTATTTATTTATTTATTTATTTATTTAGGTACAGGCTGGGTCTTGCCTTGTTGCCCAGGGTTATCTCGAAATCGTGGGCTTAAGTGATCTGCCTGCCTCAGCCTCCCAAAGTACTGTGATTACAGGTGTGAGCCACCATGCCTAGGAAACAGCATTGATTTCTTTTTTCTTTTCTTTTCCTTTCTCTTTTATTCTAGCTGCCAAGAGACCCAAACAAAATTGAAGTTTAATTCTTACAATTGTATTTGACACCTATAGTTGAAATTTTGAGTAGACAATTTCAAGCTTGAATTCTCCCATCATAAAGGACACTGGGATAGAAAATTAAGTAACCTGACATGGCATGCAGACATTTGGTAGTAGCTATAATAAATTTATATTAAATAAATACAGTATGATGTTAGCTAAGGGGCCTATGAAAATAACTTTTAGCAAATAGAGGGCATTTCCCTATAAAGCAACTTCTCCAGTTACACATTCCTGAAATTGGCAAGTAAGATAATTCATTGCAAATGTGATCTTCAACATTTTACATGTGTTTTTCATATTTTTGTTTTCTTCCAAGTTGTATAGGCTGATTTCTTATTTTATAACTTAATTAAATCTACATAGAGTCTGAACCTAGGTGTGAGTTTAAAAAAATCTGATACTGAAGGTAGTGGTCAGAACATAGAGTGAAAAAATACAAAATTATTAAAGTATTGAAATGATGATCAACATTTAAACCTTAGCAAACTTAAATATCAAAATATATTAAATACCTTAAAACTCTAGTTCTGTTTTATCCTTCAGTATCTCATTATTTATCTGTCAATATTCCAAACAAATAAATGTATAGTAATTAATACTACAATAATTTAAATACAATATGTAATAAGTAGGCTATATTATCTAGAAAATCAAGTTTAAAATACTTAAAGAGGCATAAATATTCACTTCAGAATTGTGCACCTCTCTCATCTCCAACAGAAAGAGAAATTTTACTCTCAGACTCTCCTTACCATTGAAGGACACATTCTTCTCTTGCAAGGGTATCTTTTTTTGACTGCTGCGTATGGCTTCAGTCTTGGAAACACTATATCACTGAGAATGATGTTTTTGTTATTCTGTTTCCAATCCTGGTCTCCCTTAGAGATACCTAAACCTAAGACTGGCTAGTTGCTATCTTTCTCCTAAACATAAGTATCCTAGAACTTATCCTAACACCTTCATAATTCAGAATTGTTATGTAAAGAGAATCTTCCTTCAAAGAGAATTTGTAAATGGATTGAGATATTGCTAAATATACACATTTAATTAGAACACAAACACATGAAAACTAGATAACACTGGAAATTAATCCCATAGAATCAACCAAGTGTCACTCTTAATTTTACTTATCAGTCACAGAAAGAAAAATACCCTTAAGATTCTTGATGATCTGACAACATCTATCATAACAGGGAAACTGATGAAAGAAAAAAATGACATTTGCCTAAGTTGACAAAAATCTTGCATTTTACACAATTAAAGAAGCACACACCTATATTAGGTTTTACTGTAAAAAGTTCAAAGACTACATGTGAAAAATGTTATATTGAAAGGCAGAAATTCAGTAAAATCAGTATTCTGCCCATAGAGAACTGTTATCAGCTCTGGGAAGATTTAGCTTATATCAAAGTGCCCTCTTGAGGATGTAAACATAACTACATGACTGAAAGTATTACTGAAATGTCAAATGCTCTAATTGAATTACCAAAAGATACTTTTGCAAATGGTCAGATGTGCATCAGAACTAGTGAAGATGTATCTCTTTTTTTCTTTTTTGTAAAGCAAGGTATAATTTGCATATATTTTGCTATTGACTGATTAAAAGGGAAGAATTTTGCAAGAACTGATACTCTAATGGATAGGAATTTTTGTTCAAATCTTACTAAGAAATATAATATAATTGCTATTGTGAAATAAATATTGTTCTCAATAATTCTGTTTAATTTCTAAAAAAAAATTCTCATCATTTTATTATATTTCAGAATCTTGGACTTTGTCAAGGCATTACTAGGGGGTAAGAAAGGCTAGTGTGGGCATTGTCTACCAGTCCACACAAGTTACTCCTGAATTGCTGGATGTTCAGCCCAGTGGCTACCTCTGACGGGGTGGTTTTCTTGGAGCTGCAATGCAGGATTGGTACATTTAGCTCTAAGTGGGTACTTGAAAGGCTGTCAAAGGTAATATGAAGGTAACTTTCTTAGTGTAAAATTTAGATAAATATTATATCTTTGTTTTTGCAAGTTTAAATATTATATCTTTGTTTTTGCAGGTTTAAACCTTTCTGGTTTGTGGAGAACAAAATTCTAATATGCTAATTCTATGTTAATTTTGATGAAATGCTAATCACCACATTAGCTCTAGACTATAAATACAGTGTATTTCTCTTCCTGGTTTTAAACTAGGGCTATATTAAGTTTATAGATTTGCAAATGTATATTTGTCAACAATAAGAAACTATGAGGATATAGTGTATCTTACAAGTGAAAACAGTAGTTAAAAGTTTACAATTAGGAGAGTTTGCAAGAAAATACTCATGAGATATGTGAGAAAAGAAGGAACAATAAGTCAAGCAAGTGGGAAGGAGTATCAAGTTTAAAAATTTTAACACCAGAACTACAGAGAATATCATTTGAAAAACTAAATTCAGCTTAAAGAGATTTCTGCTCTAGGGCAGGTTATATACCTAGTGCGAGCTTCTACACAGAATAACTAGGAAGGCCATGAAAAATACTGAAATTGTGTCTTTTAAGGCAATAGTACTTATTTAAGATTGAAAGATGAGCTTCACATCCATAGGGAAAAACCACATGATTATTACAGAATATGGCTAATATTATATTGAGAGCAGGACCAAGATAGTAGAGGTCAAAGAGTTTTAGGAGATGTAAAGTTTCAGCCCAGGCAGTATAGAAAGGCTCTATTAACACTTCTTTAAGATCCCAGTATCCACCTAAAACAGAAAAGTTCCATCTTAGGAATAAGGACCACATCCTAGAGTAAGGTCTGCCCTAGTCTAGCCTCACTTAGATTTTCCCCCTCCAAGTCCATAAAGACTTCTATAAGATAGTACACCATCTGGAGCTCCTTTTGTCTGCCAGTCAACCAAAGGCCTATTTCCATTGGCTAATGCCCAAGAATCAATAAAAAGTCATAATACCACATTAATATTGTTATTAGCTAGTTTATTTAATGTCATAAGCATTACCTATTTAATTCTGCCCATTCACCAGGTTTATCTTTTTCTTCATCAGTTAAATTACAGCAATTAATGCACTGCAATGCAGCTAGTTTCCAGGTTGAGTGCCTGCCCTTCACTCTTGAGCAACTATCCTTAAACTCTGATTCATGTTTGGCATCATCTGATTATAACTGATTACAGAGGGAAACTCTTTCAGCAATGGAGTTAGAAAACTCCTCAGGGAAGCTAACATAGGACTGAAGTCATAGTCGTCACCTGCTCATATGGATGATGGGCACTTCCAGTGGCTCCCCTGATCTATATTTTGGACATATTATTTTGTTCAATAAGGAACCTCTCCTGCACATCTTCTTACCTGTTGGAATGAAGATTTTACATAAAACCATAAACAATGGACATTTCAGATCTCAAAATAATTTTATAATTTTCCTTAGGATAACATCCAACAAATGCCCAATCACAGACAAATAACTGCCTTGCAATGAGTGTCAGATTACTTTCTAGCCCAAAACCCCAGCAGTTGCTGATGGGTAGGTGTCTTGGCTTTTCCTGAGGGCTCCAGTCAACATGGCTATGGTGTGGGAGATATTTCCATGTGCAAAATTTATTTCAGTAGGGATTCAGAATGTACAACCTGTACAACAATTTCATTCATTATTAGCCTGACATAAATCTTTTTGATCAAAACAGATATCTTCCTGACTTCCTTCTTGGAATAAATAAATATACCCCTTTGCTTTACAAACTCAGTCACCAGCCATAACTTTATGGTTCTAGCATTCTTGGATTGTTTCTCATTTACTTTTATTTCTGCTAAAAGAGACAAAAGCAGCTAATACTTCCTCTTTATTAGAATTTTTATTGTTTTGGATTTAGCACTTCCCCTAAACCTTGATCTACCAACTGCAAGTGGCATTGATACAATTTTGTCTCATCAATGCTTGCAGTGTTTTTGTGACTTCACCCCACGGAAGCCCAAAGGCAACAATGATTTCTCACTCTTACTTTTCTTGTCTTTCTATCTCTCAAGTAAAGCCTTACTCATTTTTAAAATTACAAATCAGGAATTATTGCAAAAATCTTCATAATGTTAACTGCATATGTTACACAGTTCAGATAATTAAAAACATTCACAACCTTCCACAGAGCATACTCAGGAAGTCTCTAATAAAGGCAAAGGTTATAGTATGAAGTAGAAAGACAGCACAGGCCAGGAACAGGGCCCAACATACTGCCAGGCTCTGCTCTCCTGGATCATTTCTTAGTCATACGGAATTAGCATTTGTTTCCAGATCATGAACCACCAAGATGTGTGTGAGGAATTGTATTAGTTTTACGTGGCTGCTGTAACAAATTACCACTGCTCTGAGGGCTTCAAACAACAGAAATGCACTCTGTCATAGTTCTAGAGGCTAAAGTTCCAAACTCAGCATCACTGAGCCCAAAATCACACTTCTAGCAAAGATATTCTCTCTCTGAAGGCTCTAGTAGAGAAACTGTTACTTCCCTCTTGCAGCTCCTGGTGACTCCTGGTGGCTGCTGGCATTCCTTGACCTGTGGCTGCCTCACACCAATCTCTGCCTTCCTGATGACATTGCTTTTTCTTCTTTTGTGTGTGTCAAATCTTTCTCATCCTCACTCTTATAGGGATACATGTGATTGCATTTAGAGCTTACCTGAATAATGCAGGATAATGTCCCCATCTCAAGATCTTTAACATAGTCACATCTGCAAATTGTTATTCTTTGTTTTTGCCATATAGAATGACATTAACAGGTTCCAAGAATTAGGGCATGCATATGTTCAGAGGAAGCATTATTTGGCCTACCACAGGAATCTTGACTTCAGGGGGGCTCATGCAAATGCTTCCATTGTGGTTTTATATGACCTACTGGTCACACAGCCAGGACAGGTGAATTAAACTTTTGTACCAACAATAAGACATAAATAAACAAGCTAGCCCTAGGTGCTGCCAGAGAAGCTTCACATATTAAAAGCACATTTTAAGTCACTATTTAGCCCATCCAATCAGAACCAGGATTCCAGGTACCCCTTAGAGGTAAGCATGGAGTTTTGTCCAAATCTAGCTGTAAGATCACTCTTACTGAAGGAAGAAATAATGATTTAAATGCTCTTCTATGATTCAAGGAGCAAAAGTAGGTTAAATTAAAGAAAAATATGAGAAAAGAACATGAACCTCAAAATGAACTCCCTACTTGTCTGTCACACTACTTCATTTTCTGCCATTAGAGCAGAAGTAGCAAGAGAACTAGAATTAGAAGTGGAGCCTGAAGATGTGACGGAAGTGCTGCAATCTCATCGTAAAACTTGAGTGGTTGAGGAGTTGCTTCCTATAGATGAGCAAAGAAAGCAGTTTCTTGAGATGTAATCTATTCCTGGTGAAGATGCTATGAATATTGTTAAAATGGCAACAAAGGATTTAGAATATTACATCAACTTAGTTGGTCAAGCAGCTGCAGTGTTTGAGCGGACCGACTCCAATTTTGAAAGAAATATTTACTAGGCGTAAAATGCCGTCAAGCAGCATTGCATGCCACACAGCAATCTTTCGTGAAAGGAAGAGTCAATCAATGAGGCAAATTTCACTCTTCTTGTATTTCCAGAAATTGCCATAGCCATCCCACCCTTCAGCAACCACCACCCTGATAAGTTAGCAGCCATCAGCATGGAGGCAAGACTCTCCACCAGCAAAACGATTATGGCTCACTGAAGGCTTAGATGATAGTGCCAGTATTTTTTAGCAATAAGCTGTTTTTAAATTAAGCTTTAATTAAATTACATTCTTGTAGACATGATGCTATTGCACACTTAACAGAATACAGTATAGTGTCCATACAACTGTTATATGGACTGGGAAAACAGAAAATTGATGTGACTGACTTTACTGTGATGATCTGGAACCAAACCTGCAATATTGCTGACATATACCTGTAGTAAAGCTATGTGTCCTTTTAGGCCTAATTGGTATTTTTTTTTAATTTTTAACTTTTTTTATTTTACTTTAAGTTCTGGGATACATGTGCAGTACATGCAGGTTTGTTACATAGGTATATATGTGTCATGGTGGTTTGCTGAACCTATCAACCTGTCATCTAGGTTTCAAGCCCCGCATGCATTAGTTATTTGTCCTAATTGTTATTTTAAGCTATGTGAAACAGTGCAGAATATGTGTCACTAGAAAACTACAGATAAAACTACAGGCAAGTCTCAGCAGATCTTGAGCAGATATTGCTATTATATTCATTGAGCTATGGACATGTAACTTCTGCTCTTTTAGAATTTTATAATTTATAAAAATGATGTATTTGAAACCAAATATATTAAAGAGTAAGATAAACTTTTTTCCAAAGACACAAGAGAAATTTTAAACAACTGTTTTGATATTCAATTTTTTCTTACATTCTGAGACAGAAAGAGCTAGCCATACCAGAAATTTCATAATAATTTGATAATTATGCTGAAATCAAGTTGATGTATATAAAACATACATTTCTTGCAAAAAAACAAATAAACAAAGATAAATAAATAAATAAGCAGCCTTTGGTTCTTTGGAAGAAAGAATGATTGCCATGTCATTTGCAACTCACTTGCAACTCAAGCGGGCCCTGACCCTCATTAAAATATCTAAATATAGTATCGCAAATAACCTTAGAGCTAGTTTCAGTTTGTAGAAAAGATTGCATCCCTAGTAACACAATAGTGTAATTCCTAAATTGATTTTCTTTATTGTTACAATAAAGAACATAAAGGCAGAAAAAAGGATATTCATCAAAATATTATATTAACTGCAAACAAATTGCATGGCCAATTTATTATTTCACTAATATGTGCCCCTACGACATCTGTAGATAATAAGTAGAAAATTTTGATTTTATGTAAAAATTAATGTTGTAATATTTGCATAATATTTATACAAAAATTAACCTATCTCTCCCCAACTGTCCCCAACTCCTATAGTTCCAACCTGTCTCCAACTCCTCCTAAGCTGTAGCCTGCTCCAGTAAAAAAAAATTGATATAATGATTATCTTATAAAAATCATACAGTTGGCACGTGTTCTTGATGATACATGTAAAAAAACGTATTGTTGTGAGCTGCAAAGAAAGCAAACCTTTCTCAAATACATTTTGGGTTGGGCATGGTAGCTCACGCCTATAATTTCAGGACTTTGAAAGGCCAAGATGGGCAGATAGCTTGAGCCCAGGAATTGGAGCCCAGGCTGGGCAACATGACAAAACCATGTCTGTACAAAAAATATAAAACCTAACTGGGTATGGTAGTCCCAACTATTCTGGAGGGTGACGGGGAAGACTCGCCTGAGCCAGAGAACTCCAGGCTGCAGTGAGCCGTGATTGTGCCACTGCACAGCAGCCTGGTGACTGAGCAAGACCCTGTCTCAAAAAAAAAAAAAAATATATATATATATATATATTTTAATTAGCCATGTATTTACCATAGATCACAACTCTCAAAATCAGAAGGCTGGGTTTTAAATCAGAGAACAATTCATTGACATGTTTTGAATATCAGTTGACTCATTTGTAAAGCAAGGGTAATAAATTGTGGTCAAATATGATAATATACTTAAATTGAAAGCTTAGAGCAGTTGATGCATCAGACAGAAAACCTGCCTTCAAATCGTGGCTTCATCATTTAGTAGCTGCGTGACTTTGGGCAAAATCATTTATTAAAACTCTAATCTGCTAAGTGATTATTTTAATGGCATGCTTATTTTATAAAGTGATAATGTGAATTAAATTAGTGTATGAAAAGCATAATAAGTTCTAAACAAATGATAATTCTCATCAGTATTCGTCTTGTAATACAAGTATCTGTTCCCTTTCCCTTCTTGATGCAAAATGCTTATAATGTAAATAACAACACCTTTGCTAGAGTTGTGAGTGAAAAATGAGACTGTATGTATAGAAGCATTTTAAAAAACAGAAAGGAACATCTACATTGAGATTTTTTTTGTGTGTGTATGTGATTTGTAGTCTTAAATTAGACCAGTAAGCAATGGACACAGACATAAAACTGCTACACAGAACTAATATGAATATAACTAAATTATTTTATTTTAATATTTGCTATGGAAAATCACCTTATTAGCAAATGAAGGAATACTTGCTTGAATGTGCTCCATGATTTCTATTGTTATATTTTAACATTTTATAAAACTTTTTTTCAAAACACAACTCTTTCAAAGCTGTGTCTATGTACTCTTGCTCTTTTGCAGAAGTATCTTAAATATTAAGTTTAATGAGCCTAAAATCTTAAATGTATTAATAAAAGCACAGTTTTTACCTATTATCTGCTTTTCTTTGCTACCATAACAGTTTAAAGGGTCAAGAGAAGCTAATGATGTGCAATGATCGACTAGGTAAATGTTAACTATTGTTCTTGTCTTCAGAGATGCGGCAGAGTTACTTTACGTGAGGTATTTACATCTACTTGCTAAATCTTAAGAACTGTTACTCATAATTACAAGACACAACATAGCTTGCTTATTTGTCTTGCATGATGCTATTTCTGAAATCACTAGACATACAGTATTACATTCATAAGAACGTCTATTTCCTATTTTCTATAGCTTTGAATTTACCAAACTAACTTTAAGTTTTCATGAAGATCCTAACTGACATACAGAATAAGCTTGCATGTGAGATAACATTCCAGCTGAGTTATGCTCAGTTTTTAAGAGCTTATCTTTATATTTTCAAATGACATTTAGAGATTTCCCAAGCATACTATGTCCTTTACATATACTTAAAATAGTGGATGAATATAAGTTAGTCTTCTCTTAATGAAGTCGGATATACTTAAAAAAAATTGTTAATAATGAACAGCAATAGAACAAAGATTTCAAGGGCAAGTAAACTCTTTGAAATATGTTTAAAAGTATTAACCTTTTTGCCTTCCCACCAAATGATCTTTTTTGTATAATTTGATTTTTTTATATTTTGTTTTCATTCACAGTCAGGCAGGCTATGCCTGTCTAGGTGAGATTCTAAAGAGCAGAACTGTCTCATTGTCATCATATGTCTCCACTCATCTACTCAAGGACATGTTCTTGATCTCTATATCTGCCACCAGCAGTTCCCAAGTTCTTCCCAATCTGTCTCTCTTATTTACTACATGTAAGCTTCTGTGAGCTGAAAAGCCATCTTGCCAAACTTGCAAGAATTTTGTTCAAAATTAAACTAGGTTTGAAGATAATGTCTTAGAAATTTTTTTAGCACATAGACTTCCTGACTTCAATACTGAATTCCACATTCCTAGAAGCATTCCGAATAGTTGAGGTTGTCACATCAATGAATACATTTATATTCAGGAAATTTGAGTCACACAGTTTACAGTTGCCTCTAGCTACATGCAAGGTATTCCTTCTGGGACCACTCTTCCAACTCCACATATGTGAAAATCCCCACATACTCAAGCCCTTCAGTGGGCCCTGTGCAACTGGTGGATATGAAAAGTAGAGCTTTCATATATGCTTATTTTGCATTCCTTGAATACTGTATTATCGATCCCCTTAACATAAATGGACCTGTGCAATTCTAACCCATGTTGTTCAAGGGTCAACTGCAGTTATAACTAGTTGTATGATAGTTTAGATGTTACGGGCACTTTGTCTATGAATTAAACAGTCCAGTATTAGGTGCCTACATTTAAAAACATTGTCTTTGAAAACTAGTTTAAACAAAGCAATAAATAATCCAGATAAGATAGGAATCTTCTATTTTAGTAATAACATTGTTTCCCTCCCCATCATTTATCAAATATTTTCACAAGTACTTAGTTTGGCAATGATTGGCAACAGAGCACAATGTTCCTTCTGACTTTTTTTTTTTTTTTTGAGACGGAGTCTCGCTCTATTGCCAGAGCAACATCTGATTCCCTGTTCAAACAATTCTCCTGCCTCAGCCACCCAAGTAACTGGGATTACAGGCACGCGCCACCATGCCCGGCTAATTTTTGTATTTGTAGCAGAAATGAAGTTTCACCATGTTGGCCAGGATGGTCTCGATCTCCTGACCTCATGATCCTCCCACCTCGGCCTCCCAAAGTGCTGGGATTACAGGCATGAACACTGTGCCCAGCCCATTCTGACTTTTTAATAGATTGTAATCAAAGAAAGACATACTCACATAAACAACTTTTCATATAATTTTACCATACCATATGAGTTAATGCCTTCATAATAAAGAATCCTTAACAATAGGATTGCTCCTGTTACATTATACCTAGGATGTAATACAACACATGCAAAGTTGACATTTGCCATCATTTCCTCACCATTAAGACTAAGAGGATGTATAGCATTATTTATGATTAGTATTGCCTCCTAAAGTTTTTAATGATGAAACAACTAGACTATTTCTTGCTTAAATAAAATTTTAGCATATTAAAATTACATGATAGCAGGATACACCCACACACACACACTAAAATTTTAATTGTATGAATATATGTATGTTTATTATATAGGCATACACTAAGACATATGTCAAACATATAGTATACCATATGTAGTATATATATGGTATGACCTATATATAGTATACATAGTATATACTATATAGTATATACTTAGGATACTACATATTCTACATATATCCTAGTACATGCATATATCTATATAAAATATGAATGATAAATATAAAATTTATCCTAGTATATATCCCAGTCTCCTATATAGTACTAGTATAAATCATAGCATAAATACTTATTTTATATAAATATTATATATATATATATCCTTCTTAGTCCATTTTCTGTTGCTATAACAGAATACTCAAGACTGGGTAATTTATAAGGAAAAACGTTTTATTTCTTATAATTCTGGAGCCTGGGAAGTTCAAGACTGAGTGGCCATACTTGATCAGCTATTGGTGAGGGCCTCATGCTGTGTTATAATGTCACAAAAGGCATCACAGTGTGAGACATGCATACGGACAGCCAAACTGGCTTTTATAATCCCACTATCATGATAAGTAACCCACTCCCATGATATTTCATTAAGTTATTAATCCATAAATGGATTAATCCACTAATGAGCGCAGAACCCTCATGACCCAATCATCATTTAGGGGCCAAACCTCTTATCATCTATAATTTATGCCTAAAAATAAAGAACATCTATTTTTTATCATTTTACCACAGGGCCACTTAGCTTTGCTTTTTCCTCCTCCAGAGACCTCATGCTTTGAAAGACAATGGCTGTAAATTACAATTATTCATAATTTACTCATTTTTTGCTCTTTTTTAAAATTAATTTTTATTTCAATAGGTTTTTGAGAAACAGGTGGTGTTTGATTACATGAATAAGTTCTTTAGTTGTGATTTCTGAGATTTTGGTGCACCCTTCACCCAAGCAGTGTACACTGTACCCAATGTGTAGTCTTTTATCCCACAATCCCCTCCCACCCTTTCCCCTGGGCCCCAAAAGTCCACTGTATAATTCTTATGCCTTTGCATCCTCACAGCTTAGCTCTTACTTATGAATAAGAACAGAACATACAATGTTTGGTTTGGTTTTCCATTTCTGAGTTATGTCACTTAGAAAACTATTCTCCAATTCCACACAGGTTGCTGTGAATGCCATTATTTCATTCCTTTTTATGGCTAAGTAGTATTCCATTATATATATATATATATATATATATTCCATGTTATATAATATTTTCTTAATCCAGTCATTGATTTTTGGGCATTTGGACTGGTTCCATATTTTTGCAATTGCAAATTGTGGTGCTATAAACACGTGTGTGCAAGTATCTTTTTCGTACAATGACTCCTTTTCCTCTAGCAATGTGATTGCTGGATCAAATGGTAGATCTACTTTTAATTCTTTAAGGAATATCCACACTGTTTTTCATAGTGGTTGTGCTAGTTTACATTCCTATCAACACTGTAAAAGTGTTCCCTTTTCACCACCTCCACACGAACATCTATTATATTCTTACTTTTCGATTATGGCCATTCTTGCAGGAGTAAGGTTGTCGTTCATTGTGGTTTTGATTTGCTTTCCTTGATCATTAGTGATATTGAGCATTTTTTCATAGGTTTGTTGGCCATTTGTGTATCTTCTTTTGAGAATAGTCTATTCATGCCCTGGGCTCATTTTTTGATGGGATTATATTTTTTCTTTCTGATTTGTTTGAGTTCCTTATAGATTCTAGATATTAGTCATTTGTCAGATGCATTATTTGCAAAGACTTTTTTTCCACTTGGTGGGTTGTCTGTTTAATATGCTGATTGTTTCTTTTGTTGTGAAGAAGCTTTTTAGTTTAATTAAGTCCCTTCTATTTACCTTTGTTATTGTTGCATTTGTTTCTGGGTTCTTGGTCATATAGTCTTTGTCTAAGCCAATGTCTAGAATGGTTTTTTTCAATGTTATTTTCTAGAACTTTTATGGTTTCATTTCTTAGATGTAAGTCTTTGATCCATCTTGAGTTGATTTTTATATAAGGTGAGGCATGAGGATTCAGTTTTATTCTTTTAAATGTGGCTTGCCAATTATCCCAGAATCATTTGTTAAATAGGGTGTCCTTTTCCCATTTTATGTTTTTGTTTGCTTTCTCAAAGATCAGTTGGCTATAAGTATTTGGCTTTATTTTGGGGTTGTCTGTTCTATTCCATTAGTCCATGTGCCTGTTTTTATACCACTACCATTCTGTTTTGGTAACTATATAGGCTTGTAGCATAGTTTGAAGTCCGGTAATGTGATGCCTCCAGATTTGTTCATTGTGCTTAGACTTGCTTCTGCTATGCAGGCTATTTTTGGTTCCATATGAATTTTAGGATTATTTTTTCTAGTTCTATGAAGAATGATGATGGTATTTTGATGGGAATCACATTGAATTTATATATTGCTT
The DNA here is from genome assembly GCF_000001405.40 of Homo sapiens. Taxonomy (NCBI): domain Eukaryota; kingdom Metazoa; phylum Chordata; class Mammalia; order Primates; family Hominidae; genus Homo; species Homo sapiens. The sequence continues at coordinate 85,878,978 of NC_000007.14, read as the reverse complement.
TTTGGAGTATGGTTATTTTTACAGTATTGATTCTACCAATCCATGAGCATGGAATGTGTTTTCATTTGTGTTGTCTATTTTTTTTTTCACTAGTGTTTTATTGTTTTCTTTGTAGAGCTCTTTCACCTCCTTAGTTAGGTATATTCCTAAGTATTTTATTTTATTTAATTTTTTTTACAGCTTTTGTAAAAGGAGTTGAGTACTTGATTTAATTCTCAGCTTTGCTGCTATTGGTGTGTAGCAATGCTACTGATTTGTGTCCATTGATTTTGTATCCTGAAACTTTACTGAATTCATTTATCAAATTTAGGCGCTTTCTAGATGAGTCTTTAGGGTTTTCTAAATGATATGATTATATCATTGGCAAACAGTGACAGTTTGATTTTCTCATTACAAATTTGTGTGCCCCTTTTTTCTCTCTCTTGTCTGATTGCTATGGCTAAGACTTCCAGTACTATGTTGAGTAGAGTCATGAAAGTGGGCATCCTCGTTTTGTTCCAGTTCTCACAGGGAATGTTTTCAACTTTTCCTGGTTCAGTATAATGTTGCCTGTGGGTTTGTCATAAATGGCTTTTATTACCTTAAGGTATGTTTCTTCCATACTAATTTTGCTGAGGGTTTTAATCATAAAAAGATGCTGAATTGTATTAAATACTTTTTCTGTGTCTACTGAGATGATCATATTATTTTTTTGTTTTTAATTCTGTTTATGTGGTGTATCACATTTATTTACTTGAATATGTTAAACTATCTCTGCATCCCTGGTATAAAATCACTTAATCATGATACATTATGTTTTCGATATGCTGTTGGATTTGGTTAGCTAGTATTTTGTTGAGAATTTTTGCATGTATATTGAGCAGGGGTATTGGCCTATAGTTTTCTTTTTTTTTTTTTTGTTATGTCTTTTCCTGGTTTTGGTCTTAGGGTGGTACTGGCTTCATAGAATGATTTAGGGAGGATTTGCTCTTTCTCTATCATTTGGAATAGTTTCAGTAGAAATGGTACCAATTCTTCTTTGAATGTCTAATAGAATTCAACTGTGAATTCATCTGGCCCTGGACTTTTTTTGTTGTTGTTGGCAATTTTAAAATTACTGTTTCAATCTTGTTACTTGTTATTGGCCTGTTCAGAGTTTCTATTTCTTCCTGATTTAATCTAGGAGGGGTGTATGTTTCCAGGAATTTATCAGTCTCCTCCAGGTTTTCTAGTTTGTGCACATAATGGTGTCTACACTAGCCTTGAATGATTTTTTTTTTTTGTATTTCTGTGGTATTTGTTGTAATATCTCCCATTTTGTTTCTAACTGAGTTTACTTAGATCTCTCTTCTTTTCTTGTTTAATCTCACTAATGGTCTATCAGTTTTGTTTATCTTTACAAAGAATAAGCTTTTTGTTTCACTTATATTTTGCAGTTTTTGTTCCAATTTCATTTAATTCTGCCCTGAACTTTGTTATTTCTTTTCTTCTGTTGTGTTTTGGTTTCGTTTGTTTTTGTTTCTCTAGCTCCTTAAAGTTTGATCTTAGATTGTCCATTTGTGCTCTTTCAGAATTTTTGTTTTAGGCATTTAATGCTCTTAACTTTACTCTTAGCACTGCTTTTGCTGTATCCCAGAGGATTTTATCGGTTGTGTCACCATTAACATTGAGTTCAAAAAATTTTTAAATTTCCGTCTTTATTTTATTGTTCTCCAATGATCATTCTGGAGCAGATTATTTATTATCTACGTAATTGCATGGTTTTCAGGGTTCCTTTTGGAGTAGATTTCCAATTTTGATCCACAGTGGTCTGAGAGAGTACTTGATATAATTTTGATTTCTTAAATTTATTAAGACTTGTTTTGTGGCCTAGCATATTGTCTATCTTGGAGAATGTTCCATATGCTGATGAATAGAATGTATATTCTGCAGTTGTAGGGTAGAATGTTCTGTAAATATCTGTTAAGTCCATTTATTCTATGGTACAGTTTAAGTCCTTTGCTTCTTTGTTGACTTTCTGTCTTGATGACCTGTCTAGTGCTGTCAGTGGAGTACTGAAGTCCCCCACTACTATTGATTTGCCATCTGTCTCATTTATTAGGTCAATAGAAATTGTTTTCTACCTTTGGGAGCCCCTGTATGAGGTGCATATATATTATGGATTGTGATATTTTCCTGTTGGACTAATCCTTTTGTCATTATACAATGTCTCTTTTTGTCTTTTTTAACTGTTGTTGCTTTAAAGTGTGTTTTGTCTGATGCAAGAATAGCTATTCCTGCTCACTCTTGGTGTCCATTTGCATGGAATATATTTTTCTACCTTTTTACTTTAAGTTTATGTGAGTCCTTATGTGTCAGGTGATTCTCCTGAAGACCTGAAGCAGATACTTGGTTTGTGGAATTTTATCCATTCTGCTATTTTGTATCTTTTAAGTGGAGCATTTAGACCATTTCCATTTAACGTCAGTATTGAAATATGAGGTATTATTCTATTCATCATGCAAGTTGTTGTCTGAATACCTTGTTTTTTTTTTTTCATTGTGTTACTTTTTTATAGGCTCTGTGAGACTTATGCTTTAAAGAGGTGTATTTTGGGGTTTGTTTCAAGATTTATAGCTCCTTTTAGCATTTCTTGTAGTGCTGCCTTGGTAGTGGGGAATTTCCTAAGCATTTGTTTGTCTGAAAAATATTTTATCTCTCTTCCATCTATGAAGTTTAGTTTCACTGAATACAAAATTCCTGGCTGATAATTGTTTTGTTTAAAAAGGCTAAATATAAGACCCCAATCCCTTCTGGGTTGTAGGGTTTCTGATGAGATATCTGCTGTTAATCTGGTAGGGTTTCACTTATAGTTTACCTGATGCTTTTGCCTCACTGCTCTTAAAATTCTTTTCTTTGTCTTGACTTAGATAACTTGATAATCTCTTTGCAATGAATTTCCCAGGTGTTCTTTGGGCTTCTTTTATTTGAATGTCTAGATCTTTAGCAAGACCAGGGAAGATTTCCTCAATGATTCCCTCAAATAAGATTTTCAAACTTTCAGATTTATCTTCTTCCTCAGGAACAGCAATTATTTTTAAGTGTTGTCATTTAACATAATCCTAAATTTCTTGGAGGCTTTGTTCACTTTTTAAATTCTTTTTTCTTTGTCTTTGTCAGATTGTGTTAATTCCAAAGCTGTGTCTTCGAGCTCTAAAGTTTTTTCTTCTACTTGTTCTAGTGATTATCATACAGATTACCAGGGAAGTGGGGGAAAGCTGGCAGTAATGGGCCTCACCGAGCTCCCACACAGCCAGCAAGGCCAGCCTCACTCCCACCATGCCACACCAACAGCACCCAGTTTGTATCCAGCAGCTGGTGAGCAGGTCTGAGATGTTGCCCCAAGCTACAAGCCTCCCTATTGAGAAAGCAAGCAGGGCTTTCAGGCCTTTCTCCCCAACACATGCCTGCACCATTGGCTGTGGCTTCTGTGCTTGTATCTGCACTTGCAGCTCACTCCCCAGATCCTGCTCAGAAAAATTTGGGCTTGGTTGAAATTATTACAAAGTTCAGTTAGAAGCCTCTTTCACCCTTTGGTCCCTCCCTAATTCTACTGGCTACCTTCCCCAAGAACTCCTGTGAAATAAAGTCAAGGATGACTTCTTTGGGCTTGAGCTAGGGACTGGGAGTGCCTACAGGGTTCTTTACACTGTTTCTTTTACTTTTATATTTCGCTTAGCTCCCTTACTGTTTCAGCTATAGGTAAGGTTAAATCCATCTCCTGTGATCTGGATTTTCAGGTTCTCCATTACGGATGTGTATTCAGAGGCAGACTTTCCGCCCGCTAACACTTTGAGAACTCACAGTTTTTTGGCTATCTCACAGAGTTTGCAGTAGCTAGCCACTTCTTTCAAATGGGTCTGTGAATTCTTTTGTTTTCCTGGTATGGTCCTGCAGTGGTTCTTGCAGCAAAAGTTCATGATGTGAGTCTCCACACACTCTTCTGTCCATTCAAGTGGAAGCTGCACATTAGTCCTGTCTCCTAGCCACCATTTTCCCCCAAGAAAACCATATTACATATTTCTCATACTGCATGCAGTCATCTTAATATGCCTCTTCTCATAGCAGTTTCTTATGCAAATTTATGCATGTAGTTGTATATATAGTTGCACTTCATTTATTTTTCCTGCTATATTATAATCATTGTATCAGTATACCAGATTAATTTATCCATATTTTTGGTGGACATTTGGCATGTTTCTAGTTTTTTGTTATTATGAAAGTACTGTTATAAACATTCTTAAATATTCTAACTGATATTTATGTTCAAAGTTCTCTTTTTGGTATAAGCCTTTCCACTTTTGTGGAATTTTGAATCATAGGATATTTGAATGATTAACTGCATAAAATGATTTCCAATTGTTTTAGTATGGTTGGAGGAATTTACAATTTAACTTTTATAAGTAAAAATGATCCACATCCTTGCCAACATTGATATTACCAAAACTTAATTTTTGCTAAAGAAAGGGTATAAAAAGTGGTGTTTAAGTTCTTTTGAATTGTGTTTTACTGAGAGTCAACAAGAGCAAGGAGGGTTTTTTGTTAATTGTTGGCCATATGTTTCGTTATCTGTGAAATATTTTTCATGTATTGTCTATTTTTATATTCTATTGTTGTTGATTTGTGGTATAAGTTCTTTACATATTCTTAGTTAGTAATTGCTAGTAATATGAATGATAAATATTTCCTCCCAGTTTGCAAATTCTGTACCTATTCAGGGCTCTCCATTCACTCCATTAATTAACTTGTCTTTTCATTCTAATCTATTTTTCAGTATACTAATAGCAAAAAGATAATAAATTTTTCAAGTCCTCTGCTGTTATTGTTCTTAAAACATGCGGAAACTCTTCTGGACCATTTGTTCTTCCATAAACAATTTAGAATTAATTTATCAAGTGTCCCCTTAATTTTGTGGGACTTTTTATTGTAGTTCTAAGGATGTATGGATTAAATTAAGCAAAATGTGCATCACTGTGTTCCTATATAAAAATAAAATAAAGACTGAATGAGTGTGATGGCAATGTAAGTGTACATAAAATATATCCTACAAATCACCCCAAAAATATATAAAATCTAGACAAATTGTAAAGCACTTTGACCATGTGAAAATGAAAGACGAAATTTTATTTTTTTTATATATCAGTGGAAGGTGATTTGGAAGTACACATTTGGGCCAAATATTTTAAGGCCTATCTGTAATCCTTTAAGGCCAGATACTACCAATACATGTACATATGCAAACCCCACAAAACAGGAAGTGGATCTGGCTTGTTCTCATATGTTTCCCTAACAATCACAGTGCATGTCACAAAAGAGGTTCTTAAGAATATTTATTGACATAATGATTAAGAAACAAGTAACATAATTCAAATTTACTGTCATTTTTTACACTTAACTTGGGATGCAGTATATTTACTAACCAAAAAATGTGTAGTTCTAAACTTTCCTTAATGACACTATTTTACAAGTGTGGCAAAAGCAAAATATTATTTCCTCTTCCTCTTCTTCTGGGCCTTAATGTCATCTCATTATCAAACGTCACTCTTAGCAGAAAAATTGCAAGTAGAGAGAAATGAGTAGAAAGCTGCTTATGCAGCTAAACTACCTAGAAGGTAAATTTAGAAAGTTTAGCTGGATGAGTTAAAAACAGCCAATTAAAAGTAGCCAAAAACTCTAGCACAGAAAAAGATAGTCCATCTTGTACAACACCATTAAAGTAAGAGAAAAAGAAAATGCAACTGATATTATTGGGGAGTTTCTGACTACACCTATATGTTTTTGCAAATTGTTAATGTAATAAATTTATTTAAACCTTAAAGATACGGTGGCAAGTTGATTTTATTATGTTTATTTTATATGATACTTCTGTAATCATGCTTCTAAGACCTTTTCAGATTATTTTATTCATATTTCTTCTTAATTTGTGTGCCAGTTTTAGTAATATATATTTTGTTGAACAACTGTCCACTTTGGGGGGTTTTCAAATGTGTTGCCATATAATTTCCTATAATAATCCCATATTGCTTTTTAAATATTTTCAGTATCTGTGGTTATTCTTTCCTCACAACTAATTTTTTTGTTCTCCTTATTTCTCATTTGAAAAGTTCAGCAATGTTTATCTAATTACTAACCTTATCAAAATATTAGGTTTATTCTGATTACTTAAAATATTCTAGTATCTTCAAATCATCTAATTATTGTATTAGAATTATTATCATATCTATCATTTATCTATCCTCTTATATATGTATTGATTGCATTTTATCCTATATTTTCTATTATAAAAAATACTTCCATTTCATATTTCTCTTTTTTTATTTATTTTAATATTCTAAGACTTTTACTATTTCTTTTAACTTTTTATTTTATTTTAAGTTCCAGGACACATGTGCAGAATGTGCAGGTTTGTTACATAGGTAAATGGGTACCATGGTGATTTGCTGCACCTATCCTGGGTTTTATGCCCTGCATACATTAGCTATTTTTCCTGATGCCCTCCCTCCTTTTTCCCATACCCCCGACAATCCCCAGTGTGTGTTGTTCTCCTCCATATGTCTATGTGTCCTCATTGTTCACCTCCCATTTATAAGTGAGAACATGCATTGTTTGGTTTTCTGTTCCTGCATTAGTTTGCTGTGTATAGTAGCTTCCAGCTCCATCCATGTCCCTGCAAAGGACATGATCTCATTCCTTTTTATGGCTGCATAGTATTCCATGGTGTATATGTGCCACATTTTCTTAATACAGTCTATCACTGATGGGCATTTGGGTTGATACCATGTCTTTGCTATTGTGAATAGTACTGCAATTAATATACATGTGCACATATCTTTATAATAGAATCATTTATATTCCTTTGGGTATATACCCAGTAATGGGATTGCTTGGTCAAATGGTATTTCTGGTTCTAGGTATTTGAGGAATCACCACACTGTCTTTCACAATGGTTGAACTAATTCACATTCTCACCACAGTGTAAAATCGTTCTTATTTCTCCACAGCCTCTCCAGCACCTGTTGTTTCTTGTTTTTTTTTTTTTTAATAATCATCATTCTGACCGGTGTGATATGGTATCGCATTGTGGTTTTGATTTGCATTTCTCTAATGACCAGTGATGTTGAGCTTGTTTTCATTTCTTTGTTAGCTGCACAGATGTCTTCTTTTGAGAAATATCTGTTCATGGCTTTGCCCACTTTTTAATGGGGTTACTTTTTTCTTGTAAATTTGTTAAGGTTCCTTGTAGATTCTGGATATTAAACTTTTGTCTGATGGATAGATTGCAAAAATTTTCTCCTATTCTGGAGGTTGTCTGTTCCCTCTGATGGTAGTTTCATTTGATGTGCTGAAGCTCCTTAGTTTAAGTAGATCTCATTTGTTAACTTTTGCTTTTGTTGAAATCGCTTTTGATGTTTTAATCATGAAATCTTTGCCCATGCCTATGTCCTGAATGGTATTGCCTAGATTTTCTTCTACAGCTTTTATAGTTTTAGGTTTCACATTTGAGTCTTTAATTTATCTTGAGTTATTTTTCATATAATGTGTAAAAAACAGGTCGAGTTTCAATTTTCTGCATATGGCTAACAAGTTCTCCCAGCACCATTTATTAAATAGGGAATCTTTCCCCATTGCTTATTTTTGTCAGGTTTGTCAAGGATCAGATGGTTGTAGATGTGCAGAATTACTTCTGAGTTCCCTATTCTGTCACATTTGTCTATGTGTCTATTTTTCTACCAGTGCCGTGCTGTTTGGTTACTGTAGCATTGTAGTATAGTTAGAAATTAGGTAGTGTGATGCTTTCAGCTTTGTTTTTTTGCTTAAGATTCTCTTGGGAATATGGGCTCTTCTTTGCTTCACTCTGAATCTAAAAATAGATTTAATTTTCTTATTATGTGAAGAATGTCAATGGTAGTTTAATGAGAATAGCATTAAATTTATAAATTACTTTGAGCGGTATGGCCATTTTCATGATATTGATTCTTCCTATCCTTGAGCAAGGAATGTTTTTCCATTTGTTTGTGTCATGTCTCATTTCCTTGAGCAGTGGTTTATAGTTCTCTGTGAAGAGGTCCTTCACTTCCCCTGTTAGCTGTATTCCTAGCTATTTTATTTTACATATTTTAAGCAATTGTGAATAAGAGTTCACTCATTATTTGGCTCTGTGCTTGTCAGTTGTTGGTTTATAGGGATGCTTGTGATTTTTGAACATTGATTTTGTATCCTGAGATTTTGCTGAAGTTGCTTATCAGCTTAGGAAGCTATTGTGCTGAGTTGATGGAGTTTTCTAGAAATAGGTTCATGTCATTTGCAAAGAGGGAAAATTTGACTTCCTCTCTTCCTATTTGAATACCCTTTATTTCTTTCTCTTGGCTGATTGCCTTGGCCAGAACTTCAAATACTATGTTGAATAGGAGTGGTGGGAGAGCATTCTTGTCTTGTGCCAGTTTTTATGGGGAGTAATTCCAGCTTTTACCCATTTAGTATGATATTGGCTGTGAATTTATCATAAATGGCTCTAATTATTTTGAGGTATGTTCCTTTAGTACCTACTTTATTGAGAGTTTTTAACATGAACGAATGTGGAATTTTATCTAAAGGCTTTTCTGCGTCTATCGAGATAATCATGTGTGGTTTTTGTGTTTAATTTTGTTTATGTGATGAATTACATTTATTGATTTGAATATGTTGAACAAGCCTTGCATCCTGGGGATTAAGATTACTTGACTGTGGTGTATAAGCTTTCTGATGTGCTGCTGGATTTGGCTTGCCAGTATTTTATTGAGGAATTTTGCATTTATGTTCATCAGGGATATTGGCCTAAAGTTTTTGTTTTTTTTTTCTCTTATCTCTGCCAAGTTTTGGTATTAGGATGATGCTGACCTCATAGAATGAGTTAGGGAGGAGTCCCCCCTTTTCAATTGTTTGGAATAATTTCAGAAAAAAATGGTACAAGCTCTTCTTTGTATATTCAGTAGAATTCAGCTCTAAATTTATCTGGTCCTGTGTTTTTGTTTTTGTTTTTTTTGGTTGGTAGGCTATTTATTACTACCACAATTTCAGTACTTGTTACTTGTCTATTCAGGGATTCAGGTTCTTCCTGGTTCAATCTTGGAAGAGTGTACCTGTCCAGGAATTTATCCATTTCTTCTAGATTTTCTACTCTATTTGCATAGAGGTGTTTATATTATTCTCTGATGGTTGTTTCTAATTCTGTGGGGTTAGTGGTGATATGGTCTTTATTATTTTTTATTGTATCCATTTGATTCTTCTCTCTTTTCTTCTTTAATAGTCTAGCTAATGGTCTATTTTATTAATTTTTTCATAAAAACGGATTCATTGATTTTTTTGAAGTGTTTTAGTGTCTCCATCTCCTTCAGTTCCACTCACATCTTGGTTCTTTCTTGTCTTCTGTTACCCTTGAGGTTTGTTTGCTCTTAGTTCTCTAGTTCTTTAAGTTGTGATGTTAGAATGTAGATTTAACGTCTTTCTAGCTTTTTGATGTGGGCATTTAGTGCTATAAATTTCCCTCTTAACACTGCTTTAGCTGCATCCCAGAGGTTCTGATACTTTGTCTCTTTGTTCTCACTAGTTTCAAATAACTTCTTGATTTCTGTCTTAATTTTGTTATTTACCCAGGAGTCATTCAGGAGCATGATGTTCAATTTATATGTAGTTGTGTAGTTTTGAGTGAGTTTCTTAATCTTGAGTTCTAATTTGATTACACTGTGGTCTGAGAGACTGTTATGATTTCAGTTCTTTCGAATTTGCTGAGGAGTGTTTTACTTCCAGTTATGTGATCAATTTTAGAGTAAGTGCCATGTGGTGGCAAGAAAAATGTATATTTTGTTGTTTTTCGTTAGAGAGTTCTGTAGATATCTGTCACGTCCACTTGATCCAAAGCTGAATTCAAGTTCTGAATATCTTTGCTAATTATCCGCCTTGATGATCTGTCTAATATTGACAGTGGAGTGATAAAGTCTTTCACTATTATTGTGTGAGAGTCCAAGTCTCTTTGTAGGACTCTAAGAATTTGTTTTATGAATCTGGGTACTCCTGTATTGGATGCATATATATCTAGGATAGTTAGCTCTTCTTGATGAATTAAACCTTTTATCCTTATGTAGTGCCCTTCTTTGTCTTTTTTTTGATCTTTGTTGGTTTAAAGTCTGTTTTGTAAGAAACTAGGATTTCAACCTCTGCTTTTTTTCTGCTTTCCATTTGCTTGGTAAACTTTCCTTCATCTTTTTTTTGAACCTATGTGTGCACATGAAATTGGTTTTTGAATACAGCACACCAATGAGTTTGACTCTATCCAGCTTGCCCGTCTGTGTCTTTTAATTGGGGCATTTAGCCCATTTACATTTAAGGTTAATATTGTTATGTGTTAATTTGATCCTATCATCATGATGTAAACTGGTTGTTTTGCAGACTTGTTAATGTAGTTGCTTCATAGTGTTGTTGGTCTGTGTACTTCAGTGTGTTTTTGTAGTGGCTAGTAATGGTTTTTCCTTTCCATATTTAGTGCTTCTTTCAGGAGCTCTTGCAAGGCAGGCTTTGTGGTGATAAACTCCCACAGCATTTGCTTGTCTGAAAAGGATTTTATTTCTCCTTCGCTAATGTTTCACACATAGTTTCGCCAGATCTGAAATTCTTGGTTGGAAATTATTTTCTTTAATAATATTGAATATTGACCGTCAATATCTTCTGGCTTATAGGGTTTCCACTGAGTGATCTGATGTTAGTCTGATGGGTTTTACTTTGTGGGTGACGTGACCTCTCTCTCTGGTTGCCCTTAGCATTTTTTCTTGCATTTTGACCTTGGAGAATCTGATGATTATGTTTGTGGGGGTTATCTTCTCATGGAGTATTTTACTGGTGTTCTCTGGATTCCCTAAATTTGAATGTTAGCCTGTCTTGCTAGGTTGGAGAAATTCTCTTGGATGTCCTGAAGTATGTTTTCCAACTTGGTTCTGTTCTCCCTGTCTCTTTCAGGTACCCCAATCAATCATAGGTTCAGTGTTCTTACAAAATCCCATAGATCTTGGATGTTTTGTTCATTCCTTTTTATTATGTTTTTCTCTAATTTGCCTTCATGTCTTATTTCAGCAAGATAGTCTTCAAGCTCTGAGATTCTTTTCTCCTCTTGATCTATTTGACTATTGATACTTGTGGTTGCATTGTTAAGCTATCCTGTTGTGTTTTTTAGCTCCTTCGGGTTATTTATATTCCTCTCTAAACTGGTTATTCTGGTTAACAGCTCTTGTAATGTTTTATTATGTTTCTTAGCTTTTCTGCATTGGGTTAGAAGATAGTCCTTTAGCACAGTGAAATTCGTTATTACCCACCTTCTGAAGCCTCTTTCTGTCGGTTTATCCATCTCACTCTCAGCCCAGTTCTGTGCCCTTGCTGGAGATGTGTTACAATCATTAGGAGTACAAGAGGCACTCTGGCTTTTTGAGCTTTCGGTGTTTTCTTGCATTGTTTTCTACTCCTCTTTGTGAGCTTATCTACCTTCAATTTTTGAGTCTGCTGACCTTTGGATGGGATTTTTGTAGGATCTTTTTTGTTGATATTGTTGTTGCTTTGCTTTTGGTTTGTTTGTTTTCCTTTATCAGGCCCCTCTTCCATAGGGCTGCTGCGGTTTGCTGGGGGTCCACTCCAGACCCTATTCACCTGTGTCCCTCCCACTCTTGTTAGTGTTACCAGCAGAGGCTGCAAAACAGCAAAGATGGCTGCTTGCTCCTTACTCAAGGAGCTCCATCCCAGAGGGATACTGACCTGATGCTGGTGGGAATGCTCCTGTATAAGGTGTCTGGTGACTCCTACAGGGGGATCTCACATAGTCAGGAGTGATAGGATCAGGAACCCACTTAATGAAGAACTGGCTGCCTTTTGGAGGTGTCGGTGCACTGTGTTGGGAGGAATCCCCCTTGTCTGGACTGCCTGGCCTCTTCAGAGCCAGCAGGCAGGAAAGACTAAGTCCACTGAGCCGTGGAGACCACAGCAGCCCTTCCCTCAGGGGCTCTGTCCCAGGGAGATCAGAGTTCTGTCCATAAACCCATGGGTGGAGTTGCTAAAATTCCTGCAGGGTGGCTTTACCCGGTGAGGGGAAATGGATCATGGTCCCACCCAAAGAAGCAGTTTGGCCACGATCTGCCACAGCCACTGTGTTGCGCCATAGGAAAATCTTCCCAGTTCAAACTGTCCAGTCTCCTGGCACTAGCAGGGGCAAATGGCAGACTGGAGCCACAGTGATCACCGCCACCACTTCCCCCAGAACTCAATCAGTTTAGGCAGTCTCCAGCCTGCTGCCACTGGCTGCAATACAAGTGGCTGCTGACTGTCTCTATAGCTCTATGCTTGGACCCCAAGCATGGGCTCATAAGGGTATCTCCTGATCCATGGGATGCACAGATCTGTGGAAACAGTGAGGTTTCCTGGTGGGATAGCACTATCACTCACTGCTTCCCTTGGCTGGGGGTGGATGCTCCCCTTGCCCTATGCGGCTCCCAGGTGGGCCATTGTTCTATACTTCTTTTCCTCACTCTCTGTAGGTTGTGCCAACTGCCTAGTAATTCTCAATAAGAGAACCCCGATACTTCAGCTGAAGGTGCAGGATCCATTCACCATTTGCATTCTTCTCGGTGGGAGCCACCAACAGCAGCTGCTTCTAGTCAGCCATCTTGTCCCCTCCTTTTTATTTTTTATTCTTTGTTTTTTAGTAAGTTATTTAAGTTTATGACAGGTTTGTCATTATCTTTAACTCAAGCACTATTAGGTTCATGTTGTTTAATTATTATGAAGTTAAGGACTTTTAAAAAATATTTTCTTTCGCTCCCAATTTTGTCTTGTGAACAGAGGATATAGCTTGCAAAGCCCTTACATTTTAAATTTAGTCAGGTTCTTTTTGTGTGTGTGTGGCCAACTACTAAATTAGTTTTTGGAAATATTTCAAGGACATTCCATAAAGTATGTTTTTATTCTCTATTTTTAGGATGTATATAACAGGTTCATTGTTATTTAATCACTCTGTTTTTCCATATTTTTGTGTAATAGACCTATATAATTCAAAAAAGTTACATCAAAATCAAATTTTTATTCTGATTTTACTTAGTTTCATTTGCCTTTTCAAACTAAATACTTTTAACTCTTTGTTATTTGGTGTAGTTACAGCTCTGACTGCCATAACATCTTCATAAATTATTTTTCTAATGATATATTTTTCCCCTCTTAATGCCTCTAATTTTAAGATCATGTTCTTAGATAATAACATGATCACTTCACCCAATTGTTGCTCTTTGCTAGGTATTATTTCACCTTCTATGTATTTATTTACTTTTAACCTTTCCTCACCACTTTCTTATTTATGGTTCTTATGAAGAAACACATTTCTTAATAGTCCTTTTAATGTAACCTGAAATTCTTTTTCTCTCCCACTCTCTCATGAATATAAGTAATTCAAAATCCAAGCTGTTGGAACTTTAAGTGTTTAAAGTCTTAAAGGAATGTGATTATGAAACCTGAGTCACAGGACAGGCCATATAACCTAGGCAGCAGTAACCTTTATTTCTCTGATTATACGTTAGTCTTCTTCCTTAATTACATTGTTTTGTAAAATATTGCAAATGACTAAAGGGCACAGTGAAGACCCCTTTACTCTTTACTGTTCATCTTCATTATAGATTAATTTCCCTCTTATCTTTCTCACACAAATACTTCATAACTATCATATCATCCTACAATAAAATGTTAAACATATTTTTAAATTAGTAAAGAAATATAAACAGATGTAAAGAGAAAAAAACAAGCTTTGACAAAAATTAACTAATAAAACAGTTGTATAAACCAGCATCATATAGAAAATGTTGTAAACCTGTTAATTTTTTTTCTCATATAAGCAAGACTTTAATTTTTAACTTTGGAGCACTTACCCCATTTCTCTAAAGTCTGTGTTTCCCAGATGGTCATTCCCAGTATTGGGCTCAAATAAACTCTATAATGAGTCATATATTCTGACTCTCATTATTTAAGGTTGACATCTCTCTCAGTCCATTGAACTGTACTATAAAGACAGATGTAATTGATTTTATATTATCCATTTTTAGTTACTATTTTATAAGCTTTCTGTTTGTTCCATCCTTTTAACCCCTATATCCTTATTAATTGATGAGGTTACCAGTCATTACTTATTTCCCTTATTAAATTGTAAGTTATATTAGATCGTCTACCTACAGTTAATTATGTATCTTTTTCTAACACTGACAACCAAAAACATTTTCCTTACTATTATTTGAAAACAAAGCACTGATTATTTCACCTAGTCAATGTACACAATTCACCCACTGTTTCTTTTCATCTGCTATAAGCATAATATTTAGAATACTTCTACCACACTTACCTGACTTTATTTTATCGATCCACTAAGTTTATCTGAGACAATTTAGTACTTCACTTTGGCTCTAATATAATTCCCTACACAGTGTGTCCCTTTCATCTCAAGAATCCCAATTCAGCTAAGTCATTAGTCAATGATTTAGATTAAGCTGTGTATTATTAACCACTGTTATCAGTCCTCATTATCTTCCAAAATCTAAAATCTCTGTTCATTTTTTTTTAAGTAATATATCTAAATGTTTGCTAAGACTCATGCATCTTGCCCTAATGGTTTACGTGCTGTGAATCAATACATGACTTTTAAAAATTGACACATAATAAGTGTGCCTATTTATGGTATACAGAATGATATTTTGATACATACAGTGTGCAGCAATCAAATCAGGGTAATTAGCATAACCTTTACCATAAACATTTATTATTTATTTGTGTTAGGAAAATTCAAAATCCTCCCTTCTAGTTATTTTTAAATATACAATACTTATTGTTATTTATAGACACTTCAGTGCTATAGAACAGTAGACCTTATTCCTCCTATCTACCTGTAATTTTGTGTCCTTTTACCAACCTTTCCCTGTCCCTCATTTCCTTCTACCTTCCTCAGTCTGTAGTAACCACTATTCTATTCTGTACTTCTATAAGATCAAATTTTTTTTAGCTTCCACATATTCTTTTCGTGACAGGGAAGTAATCCCATGACTAAGTGTAAGATTCTCAGTCTTTTTTTCTCTTAGTAGTTGTCTGAACATATTATTCCATTGTCTTTAATGTCTAACATTATAGATGGGAAGTATGAGGTCAGTTTCATTCTTTTCCTTTTTGAAGAAAAAAAAATTGGAATAAAAACTTGCAATATTTATTTTTAGACAGAAATTTAGGAATCATTACGCAGGTTGAATACCCCTTATCTGAAATGCTTGAGACCAGCAGAAGTATTTCAGATTTTAGATTTTTTTAGATTTTGGAATTATCACATTATACCAGTTGAGCATCCCAAATTCAAAAATTCAAATTGAATGTTCCTATGAGCATTTCCTTTGAGTGTCATATAGGTGCCCAAAAAGTGTTGCATTTGGGGACATTTAGAATTTCAAATTTTCAGATTTGGAATGTTGAACATGTATCATATATCTAGATGTGTTTTTTTGTCCTCCTATTTTATCTAAAATTTTGGGACTCTTCCATTATTCAAATTCAAGTTCTCAGTTCATGGAGATATTATTTTTA
Source organism: Homo sapiens (assembly GCF_000001405.40). Classification (NCBI taxonomy): domain Eukaryota; kingdom Metazoa; phylum Chordata; class Mammalia; order Primates; family Hominidae; genus Homo; species Homo sapiens. Next base: position 85,863,342 of record NC_000007.14, on the reverse strand, counting down.
AATTTTTAAATCCTTTCCTGTCCTTTATTTGCTCGTTGTGGGAATTGTTTTAGTCACCTTTTCTGTGTCAGTCCTACAGGACACTGACTTATATGTGCAACTCTTCGTATTTTTATTGTGTGTACAAAACGTTGCTTTCATTTGATCATTTGGGCCACAAACTCAGGTTGCAATAATAAAAATTCCATTATTTAATTCATCTACTGATTTTTAAAATGGAAGTTTTTTACACAAAATATTTCCATTTTGCTATTGAATCTTGTTTTAGTACTTATATTTCTCTCTATTTTCATTGTCTTCCATCTGGCTCTTGGAATTGATTTTGCTTCCTTTTTGCTGTTTATGATTATTATTATATTTTATAAATATAAATGAAAACACCTTCACATAAGTGACCTAATTTAATCTTTGCAACAATTTAAGTAAGTTTTTCTTTTTTAATATACTGTATAGAAGTACATACTACCGCTTAAGGAAGTGAAAATTCTTGCCCACATTCATGCAGCCAGGTGTGAGATGTGAATTTGAGATTCTCTGATACAAAAGTCCTCTTTTTTTTCATGACATAGTATTATTGTCTTTCTTGAGCATCTTTAAATTTATCTTTATATGATAACCTGATTTTTAAAACCTGTGAAAATTTTAAATTTACATTATAAATGCATATTTACACAAGCAAATATTTTGTGTCAGAAAATAAATATTCACATATCAACATAATATTATTACCAAAAGATCATCACTATTTTACCAATATTATATATATGTTATACATAAAATACTATTTTCTAAAACAACATTTCTATATGCATGTTCCTTTAAATATATTTTAATAAAGCAACTAATTTAGTATATTCAGAGTTTTATCTTGCTTTTTCACTTAATATTATAGTGTTATTTTTCTACAGGACTACATTTTTTTCCCTTCTTTCATTTCTGATATGAGCAGTATTTATTTTTCTTTTCTGATTTTGCTGGCATTCTTCTTACCCTCCATCTCTTGCTTTATTTGTATAAGCTTATCTTGCTTTAGCAATACAAAGTAATTCATCTTAAACATCTTTATGCATTTAGGGATATGTTTCATTATGATACTATTTTATGTACACACACTGGTACACAAACACATACAATACTTTTTAGGAGTTTTTGGGGTCATTTTCATGTTTTGTTTGCTTAATATATTAGGAACATATAATACATACTCTACTATATCTTGATTTTTCGTGCAACTCTACTCTCCTAATTGGTATAGCTCTAATTTAGAATTTAAAAGGTCTACAAAGTGTTTTATAGCATGAGTATAACCTATTTTATTTACCTTTTCCTTCAGTGTTGGCTATTCTGTTTTTTATTTATTTTCTTGAGCAATGATGAAAATTCAATCATCACATAATATTTTATTTACCCACCTTGATAACCAATAATAAATGGAAGATACAGTAAAACAAAAAAAAGTCTGCATTACTTTCATGTCCTTTTCTCTCAAGTAAATCAATTATGAGGCATTTCTCTCTAAATAAGAATCATTGTCTCTGATTTTAAGTGCTAATTAATAATTGAATTTATATTTATTCTTCTCTAGACATGTCTTCCTTTGAGCATGTAATGAAATCTATTATAAATTGTTTCCCCCTAAACTTTTTTTATGTTGATTCTGCCTGCTTCTTGAGTTCCAAAACCTCCCTTAGATAAAGCAGTGAATGCCAGAAGAGCTAATGAAATACGTAACTGCCTGGTTATAAGGAATTCAAAACCACTGACATATATTGGTCTTCATTTAACACCCCCTATTATCTCTATTCCTATTTTGGCACTTTGATTGCTGTGCATAGGTAGCAATTAGTAAGAAAGCTTGTATCTGCTCTTCTAAATTTGCAGTGATATTTTATATTTTATGTTTACATTTTCATATAGAAGAAAGATGACACAGCCTAAATTACTCATCCTTTGACAAAGTTACATATGGTGTCAGGAATTGTGGAATTCAGAATTTCTCTTTCTTTAATTCATTTTTCTGGAATATACATTGCAAATTCTTTTCTCATCTCTAGATATATTTAATATTGTATACAGTGAAGGGATATTCCCAAATGGATAATAAAATCTGAAAAATTTTGTTATGATCTCTTTATTATCTAACTGCTTTTATGACAGTAACAGCAAACATATGACTGGTTAAGTGAATTTCTTAAATTTCTTTAAGAAGTTATAAAATACTTAGTCCTGAGGCTATACATACTTTCTTATTCCCTTGGTATGTCTAGTCTACATAGTAGATACATATATATTATAAATCAGACAGATAGATCTAAGTTGAAATGCAATCATCATCATTTACTAGCTACAGTGAGCGAACACAACTCTTTCATGGATCATCCGTTTCTCTAATAGCCTCCAGATTTCCTTAGAAACATCTCTTTTCCATTATTAGTCATAGAGTTTGAATGGGATTGACAATATCACAGCTCCAGAGATAGTCCTTTATTTGCCAAAACAATCTGAAAAATTTCACCTCCTTGGTCAAAATATTTATAATATTTAGACCACTCTGCATAAGACGTTCTAGCTACAAATCAGTTAATTCCTTTTTTGTTTTCTGTTTCTTATTTTTCTGTCATTATTATTAATTCTGTGACATTGGACAAGCTACCCAATCTCCTTGAACTTTTGTTTCTTCTCTGTAAAACAGTGGTTCCAGTATAATATATACTGTAGAGTTATTATAAAGTTTAAACTACATAGCAAGTTTTTAATGATATATTTTCTACACAGTGTAGACAATAAGAGATTAACAATGGAAACAGCAGTCTTGAAAATTTGATTTCAAAATCCCTCTAAAGCTCAGGAGTAGGCTGATGTGAGAGTAGCAGTAGGAAATAGTTTCCTTCACAGACCCATGCTGATGACAACTGGGCTCCATAGGCAAGCCAATAATCACTATTCCCATTATTCAGTGAAATCTCATGCCATATAACCAATATATCTTCAAATGAAATGTTTTCCTCATAACCCCCTGTGCTTATAGATTTTAGGTCTAGTTAAATACTTAATATCAATCAAGGTAGTCAAGCAAATTTGTGAACATCATCATTGCATAGGGTGATTTAAAGTGACTGTCAGTCCTTGGTGTTGACAAGTTAATGTTTCATGATTCACTATTGCCATTGTTTACCATGATAACTTATAATTAAGAAAGCACTCATGCTTGGAACCACTGTACTTCCTCTCTATAAAATATAAAGGTGTTTATTTTTCCTTAAGTAAGTCATTAAGTATTTAAGAGACATTTCCTAAATGCAAAATTGCTACATGATATGGAAAACTATTTGTATAAATTAAGGACAATCACAGGAAAATGTGAATAATTAATCATTTAAATAATAGTTTAAGAAAAGAAAATAAGAAGTACAAATAAATGCATATCACCATATTACTCTATTAAAAATTTTGGAGCATATTTGGTAAAAATCAATGAGACCACATGGACACAGGAAGGGAAACATCACACACTGGGGACTATTGTGGGGTGGTGGGCGGGAGGAGGGATAGCATTAGGAGATATACCTAATGCTAAATGACAAGTTAATGGGTGCAGCACACCAACATGGCACATGTATACATACGTAACAAACCTGCACGTTGTGCACATGTACCCTAAAACTTAAAGTATAATAATAATAAAATTTTTAAAAAGTGATACCATATAAAATTATGCAAAACAGTTTATTTTCTTGAATATACCAGAAATTATTCTAGAAATGAAGAACTAAATAAATATATTAAAAGAATGTTCTTCTTAGACAGAAAAAATATTTTAATCCCAAACTTATATTTTTACCTTTTTCTATTCTATTTTGTGTTCTCTAAAATGTCTAAAAAAAATCCTACCCTTAAAATATGAAATACATACAAATACAAGTATAACTAGTAAAGGACAAAATTGTCATGATGGTTTATTTCAAAAGTATGAACTTTAGACATTGTTCTATCTTTGTAAAACTTAATTACATTTTTGATACTTCATTTATAAAACTGTGCAGTCAACCTACAAATCTCCAACCCTTATTCCAGTTAGGTATTCTAAGTGTCTTTTCTACAATTTAATTTTTTGCTTTTTGGTTTTCTTTTTTTGACGAGGGGTAATAAAAAGCAATTTTTATCTGTATTTTTAATACTGCTCTTCTCTAAGAACCTATAATAACTCATTAATGTATGATATCTCATTGTTTTCTGTCATTCTGAATCAATTGTTTCTGGCAGTCCTTTTTCTTAAATTTAGTGAATTTTGAAATTAGTGGGTAATGTCTGACACTTCTGTTATTCATTTCCTATCTTTAATCATTTATTTTGAGGCTAACATATCAGTATTCTCCATAAATACACTGTTGCATGATGGAAAACATAATAATTCATGTGTAAATTTTGGCATTTTGTGTACCAAATTTATGTTGAAGTGGTTTTCTATTAACGTGTTTATTTACACAATAAAGAGGAAAAGTAACGTCGTTTTTGTTTGTTTAAAATCCATTTTGGTGCTTCAGTGAAAAAAATCTAAAAGGAAAAATTAGAAATTAAAGGTAAATAAAATAATCCATACATATTAATGTATTTGTAATTAAATAATAATGTTAATATCGTGCTCTTTTACTATGTAACAATCAAGAAGGCGTAATTTCTGCATACATGCTGCTATTTAGCTATAGGACTGCAAATTCAATGGGGAAAATTGTTGAAATAAGGAAATATAACTGATTCCTCTCAAATTATTTCTTCAATACTTTTAATATTGATTCATCACCTTGTACACCATCCTACCCAGTATTTTGAAGTTCTCACCATCTCTAATATATTTTAATTTTAAATTAATAATATTGTAGGAATAACAAGAAATTGGGTGGAAATAGTTACATAATAAATTGTTGATACTCTGAAATTATTTCAAATCTTGCTAAGGCTAACAGGTTCAGAAATTTTCACTAGTCACAGAAATAGTAGTAATGCTTTTTTTTTCTACTAAAATTGTTCAGCAAAATTTTACTACAATTTGGTAAACACATAAAATACTCTAGTTTTCAATCGAAGAGAAGATTCAGGATTGTTCCCAAAGTTTTATTTAGATTGCCCTTGATATTAGTAAATATAGATACATTATATTTATATTTTACCTTATAGCATTAAGCACATAAGTAAAGGATATTGCTGTGATTGATAGTAAACTTAGGTTTTTATAGGTGAATGTACTAGATATCACTCATACATATATACTGTTTTTCTCTTTTTCATGATTAGCTCAATTTCAAGTTCTGCTTGGAATTTACATAGTTATCACAGAGTTTTTAAAAGGCTGACTAATAAAAGACAGAGATTATTTTATTTTGTGTACACATGCACACACACACATATGGGAAGACTCAATATTAGAGAAACATCAGATCTCTTCATATCAATAATGTGAGTTGGGGAGGTTACTTCAAAATCCCAATTTCTTTCAAAGACATTGGCAAGTTATATCTCTCCCTTTGTATTAGTCTATTTTCAAGCTGCTGATAAAGACATACCTGAGACCAGGCAATTTACAAAAGAAAGAAGTTTAATCAATAACCCACAGTTCCACCTGGCTGAGGAGGCCTCACAATCATGGTGAAAGGTAAAAATCACGTCTCACATGGTGGCAGACAAGAGAAGAGAATGAAGAAGAAGAGAAAGCAGAAACCCCTTATAAAACCATCAGATCTGGTGAGACTTAACTCACTACCACAAGAACAGTATGGGGACATTGCCCCCATGATTCAATTATCTCCCACCAGATTCCTCCCACAACACATAAGAATGATGGGAGTACAATTCAAGATGAGGTTTGGGTGGGGACACAGCCAAACCATATAATTTCACCCCTGGACCTCCCAAATCACATGTCCTCACATTTCAAAACCAATCAAGCCTTCCCAACAGTCCCCTAAAAATTTTAACTCATTTCAGCATTAATTCAAAAGTCTACAGTACAAAGTCTCTGAGACAAGGCAAATACCTTCCGCTTATGAGCTTGTAAAATCAATAGCAAACTAGTTACTTCGTAAATACAAGTACAAATACAACAAAAGTACAATAAGGAAACAGAGAACTTGAACAAAATTATAAACAATGAACCTAATAGACATATGTAAGACATTCTACCCAGGAATATCAGAATACATGTTCTTTTCATGTGTGCATGAAACATTCTCTAGGATAGATCATATGTTAGCATACAAAGCAAGTCTTAAAAATGTAAAAAGATTGAAATCATAGCATGTATCTTTGTCCTACCACAATGGAATAAAACTAGAAATCTATAGCAGAAAAAAACTAGAAAATGTACAAATATGCACCAATTAAACAACACACTCTTAAACAACCAATAGATCAAAGAAGAAATCAGAAGGGAAATTAGAAAATAGCTTGATATATGCAAAAATGAAAACCCAACACACCAATCCTATGTGATGCAACAAAAGCAGTATTGAGGGACAATTATGGTTATAAATTCTACATTAAGAATAAAGAAAGATGTTAAGTGAACAACTTAACCTTACAACTCAAGGAACTAAAATCACAAGAACCAATGAAGGCCAAGTTTAACAGCAGGGAAGAAATAAAGATTACAGCCAAAATAAATGAAATAGATAAGTAAAAAATAGAAAAATCTGTAAAACTAAGAGTTTTTTGAAAATATATATTAAAATGGATAAGCCCTTAGCTACAGTAACTATGATAAAAATATTAAAAACTTAAGTAATAAAATCATAAATGAAAAGGGAGATGTTATGACTGATGCTACAGAAATAAAGAGCACCAAAAGAGACTACCATGAGCCATGATAGCCAAAAAATTGAATAACCTAAAAAATGAATAAATTCCCTAGACATATACAACCTAGCTAGACTGAATCATGGAAACAGAAATTGTGAACAGACCTATAATAAAGAGAAGGACTGAATCAATCTCCCAGTGATAACAGAAAAAGCTCAGGACTCAATGACTTCACTGGTTGATTCTATCACATATTAAAGAAGAACTAACACGAATCCCTCTGTACGCCTTTTTAAAAATTGAAGAATAGGAAACATACTTCCAAACTAATTTATGAGCCAGTATTACTCTTATATCTAAGCCAGCCAAACACACTACAAGAAAAAAAAAAAAAAAACTACAGGCCAAATTTCCTCAAGAAAATACTTACAAAACTGTACAAACCTTCAGCAAAATACTAGCAAATTGAATTTATCAGCACATTTAAAGCATCATATATTATGACCAAGTAGGATTTATCCATAGAATGCAAGACTGGTTCAACTTACAAAAATAAATTCATGTAATATCCCACATTAACAGAACAAACGAACAAAAAACAGTTTATCATCTCAATTGATGCAGAAAGGTCATATGATAAGGTTCAATATCTTTTCATAATAAAAGCTCTTAATAAATTAGGTATAGAAGGAATTTACCCCAACATAAAAAGGCCACATATGAAAAACCTGCAGGTAATATTATACTCAATGGTGAAAAACTGCAATTTTTTCCTCTAAGATTAGGAAGAAGGAAAGGATGCCCGCTTTTAATCAGCATAACACCAGAAGTAATGGCCAGAGCAATTAGAAAAGGGTAAAAAAAAAAAAAAAAAGTATCCAAATCAGTAGGGATGAAGTTAAATTATCTGTTTGCAGATGACATGATCTTATAGGTAGAAAACATTAAAGATGCCATAAAAATTGTTAGAAATAATAAATTCAATAAGGACCAGGAAATAATACCAGCATACAAAATTTAGTTGAATTTCTAAACTAGCAATAAACAATCCAAAGAAAATCAAGAGAAAAAATTCATTTACAATAGTATCAAAAAAGATAAAATACTTAGGAATAAATTTAACCAAAGAGGTAAGGGATTGGTACACTGGAAACTAAAATTTTCATGAGTGAAATCAAAGAAATTACAAATATATGGGAAGACATCAGATGTTCATGCAATAAAATAATTAATATTTTAAAATTATCCATATTACCCAAAATTATCTGTAGATGCAATAAAGTCCCTGTCAAAATCCCAAGAGAATTTTGTTGAAAAAATTGAAAAAAACTATTCTAAAATTCATTTGAAGCCCCAAAAGACCTCGAATAGCCAAAATAATCTTGAGCAAAAAGAACAAAGTTGAAGGCATTACACTACTTTACTTTATATCACAAAGACACAGTAACCAAAACAGCATATACTGGCAAAAAAACCAGACACATAAAACAATGAGACAGAATAGAGTCCAGAAATAATTCCATGCATTTATAGCCAATTGATTTTTAACAAGGTGTCAAGAGACACTTTTCAACAATGGGGAGATGGAAATATCCTTAATAATAAATGGTGGGAAAACTGAATATCTTCATGTAGAATAATAACACCCTAGACACCAATCAACTCAAAATGGTTTAGATTTAAATGTCAGACCTGAAACTGTAAAATAACTAGAAGAAAACCAGCAAAAAGCTCCATGATATTGGCCGAGGTCATATTTTTTGGGATATGACTCCAAAAGCATAGGAAACAAAAGCAAAAATTACAAGTAGGATTACATCAAATTGAAAATATTCTACACTGCAAAGTCAACAGTCAACAGAGTAAAGAGAGAAACCACAAAAAATAAAATATTTGCAAAACTTATACCTGATAAAAGGTTAATTTTAAAATACATAAGAAACTCAACTCAATATCAAGAAAACAAATAATTAAAAAGTGGGCAAATAATTGATTAGTTATTTCTGAAAAAATACATATAAATAGCCAACAGGAAAATGATAAAATGGTCAACCAAACTATTCACATGGAATATAGCAATGCATGAAAAAAACTAAGATGTTTTGTATTTTCCTAAAATTATGCTCTAGATAGGATGATATATAACAAAATCAACAAAAGAGTATCATAATAGGCATGCAAAATGATAAGCACTGTGAAGGAAGATAAAACAGGGAGTAATAAACATTGGGGGGTTGTTACAAGAGGATGTTGTAGACAGATAGATGCAGAAAATCCTCGTTTAAGATTATGTTTAAGTACCAAACTGGAAAGAAGTCAAGGACAGAGCCATAAGGGCTGGGGAGGAGCAGTTTAGATAAATGAAAATGCAATAACTAATGGAAGCATCCATGGTGTGTTTGAAGAAGGAAAAGGAGGGCAAAGTGCTTGGAAAAGAGAGTGAGGAAGATAATTAAATGATGTTAAAAAGGTAATGTTTTGGGAGGCTGAATGTGTAGGGCTATATAGATCACTGCAAAGATTTTGAATTAACCTCTGAATAATATGAAGAGTCACTGGCAGTTTTAAGAAGCAGCATAACATGATTACAGTTAGGATTTAAAAAGATTCTTCTGATAATTTGGAAAGATTGTTGAAATAAGACTGAGATAAAACTATGGAGGAGGAAGCTATGAAAAATAATTAAATAGAAATACCAGTTAAGACTCTATTGCAGGTGGCTTAGGCAAAGGAGGTAGCTGTGGACTTGGTGTAAAGTCACCAGCCTTGAGTGATACTTAAAAGTTACTGAGAGCTGTGGGATGTGATAGAAGAGTAAAAGACAATGCCAAGGTTTGTGCATTACACAACATGAGGATGTAAGTTACTGGCAACTGAAATGGAAATGTTAGGAAGGGGCACATTATGAAGAAAGAAGTTGGCCTTAGTTTTGAAAATGTTTACTGTGAAATGCCTGGTAAATGTTCAAGTAGAAATGTTGAATAATCTGTTTAATACATGAGTCTGGATTTGAGGAAATAGGCCCAGAACAGAGGAGTAAAGTCAGGCAAAATGAACTTATAGGTTGTATTTAAAGCACTTCAGCATTGTCCTTTTATATACATATTTAGGCATGGCAGAAGACTAGAGATCAAATTATAGAAATAGAGTATTACCCTCGACTCTAAGGTGGATTTTATTATTTTCTTTTATTTTACCTTTTCTGATTTTATTTCTTATTATTTTCAAAACTTCATTGTTATAAAATATAATAAGCTTAGAAATGTGTTTTTTCATAGGACTCTTTAGTCATGTGCCAAAATCTGAACCCAGTGGGCTTATAATAATGAGGAATAGTAGAACACTTGGCAAATTTCTGTGCCTGCTAATGGATCATAAGTATCAAGAAGTTTCAATAAAATGAAGACATGACCTTGTTCCTTAACACAAGATATTCACCTCAGTAGCAATTTTTAGAAACCTATTAACATTTGCCCATAAATAGGTCTTTGATTGCTACATTTTTATACTTGGTCGATATTAAATTTTTAAATACCGATTCTACTGTCAACAGGTTAACTAAAAATAAAAGGCCAAACTATTTTGAATTAACCAGAATATTACTGCCCCGAGGTTATAAGAGTTAGGAAACTGGATGCATAGAAATGCTCAACAATTACTAACTGATTAATTGCTGATATTGTTAGGATGTATATTCCTTCCAAATCTCACTTTGAAATGTGATCCTCAATGTTGGCGGGAAGCCTAGTGGGATGTGTTTTGGTCAATGGGATGGAGTAATTCTTCATGAATGACTTGATGCCTTTCCCATGGTAATGAGTTCTCCTTAGTGAGTTCACTCATAATTTTTTTTTTAATTTATTTAAAGAGTGTGGCACCTCCCCCTGCTCGGTAACCTAACTGCTTTCTTGTTCCCCTTTTCATGTGACATACCAGCTTCTGTTTCGCCTTCCATAGCGAGCAAAAATTCCCTGAGGACTCACCAGAAGCCAAGCAGGTGCCATAGTTCCTTTACAGCCTGCAGAACCATTAGCCAATTAAACATCTTTTCTTCATAAATTGCCCAACCTCATTACCTTTGGATTAATACTTACTGTATTAGCCCAAAATAGTCTAATACAATTGCTTTAAAAAGGTAATAATCTATTATAATATTCAAATGTCAAATTATGAGAAACTGCAGATGAATTAAAATATATTTAATCAAGATATGGAATGCAAACGGATCCGAATTAAAACTTGAAAGGAAATTGAATCGGCTTATAAATACTGATGATAATAGATACATAACACACAAAAGCATATGTACACTAATATCAGAAATTACTAACACAGTATTTGGAATTTTGAACAAGCAATTATGATTTTGAATTCATTAACATACATTTCAATATTAAATTAACATAGGAGTGAACAGTGAAGACTGGATCGAGTTTTAGTATAGGCAAATTTTCATTGCTATAATATTTAATATCCTATATATTTCAGTGCATTTAAAATAAGATTCCCAATTATTTTCCTCTTTTCTAGTTTAGAAATAAAATATCTCAGTAAATATTCCTGTTGAATATTAAACAGAATGCATTATTTTCCGTAATATGAGGCACTGTTTTGTATACTTTATCTTTCTCCTACAAAGCCAGTAATGCCAATTTTAAGTGTTGATACTCGTGTTTTGTATATCTCATTATCAAAATGATATACAATTTCAACTAACCTTTTATGAATTAGATCTAGTAACTGAAGTGGTGAAACTTCTATTTGACAACACTAGATGGTGGTAGAACACTTTTTAAATGGCTCAGCACAAGTAAATCGGCAAGGACTTCAAATATCAAGAAAATTAAAAGGAAACAAAATTTCCAGTGAGTAAATGTCTATTAATTTCAAAAACTATTAAAATTTTTGAAGTGATTCTTGCTTGATTATTAGCGTTTGGCAAGAATAGCTCCTTGGGTTTTAAATGTATTCCGATACTGATCATAATTCATGAGGCTCAATTAATTTGGCCTTAAACTCATTTTTACTTCTACTAGAGTCATTTAATAGAATGTTTTGTGAAGAGCTTCTTATAAATTAAAGATGGAGAAACCTTGAATATGATGAATTTAATAACCTCTTTATGTCATTATATTTACAAAGAAAGATTAATTATGCTAAACTATATATTCGCAAAGTAGAAAGTTATATCTTCATGTTATGAAATGAGAATAATATATATATATTTTTTTGAGACGGAGTCTTGCCGTGTCGCCCAGGCTCGAGTGCAGTGGCGTGATCTCGGCTCACTGCAACTTCCGCCTCCCGGGTTCAAGCGATTCTCCTGCCTCAGCCTCCTGAGTAGTTGGGATTACAGGCACCCGCCACCATGACCGGCTAATTTTTGTATTTTTAGTAGGGACGGGGTTTTACCATTTTGATGAGGCTGGTCTCCTGACCTCAGGTGATCTGCCCGCCTCAGCCTCCCAAAGCGCTGGGATAACAGGAGTGAGCCACTACGCCCGGCCGAGCATAATTTTTAATAAGGTGCATCATAATAAAATTAAAATGATCATTAAATTGTCCTCAAGTATTTGGCCACACAAAAATATATTTGGAAAATAATAGCTTTCTTATTTTTCAAGTTGATCAAACATTTTAATAAACTTTTTGAACTGTGGCTAGCTCAGTGAAAACCTCTTACAACTTTCTCATTATGCAAACTTATGGAGATTAAATGACCAGCTCAGTATCACTGGAATTAGAGGCCTAGTCAAATATTCTTTCAAATAAATCATTTCTGACACATTTCCAATTCATTTATCCTCACGTTATGAGTTATCTTTTGATTTCCAGCCATTTTATCTGTCCAGGGAAATAAACAGCATGGCCAATATCTGGTGTGAGCACTGCCATTAATATTAAAACATTACAAGTGTGCATCCAACACAAACTTTGCAATTCTCTCCAAGGTACTGTGATTGTTCTGTGCTCCACATCTGCATAAGGCTGACACATATTACTTACATTTGCAAAAAACTGCATGGCAGTACAAGGTATTTGAAATTGTTCATAGTGCCTCTTTACTTTAAATACAAGCATATATAGCTAAAGTGAATGGAACAACATTATGGCTAGAAAAAAAATAAGAATAAATAATTAAATTAATATAGCTAAAGCATCATTTGAAATGTACCCAACATATGCATTCCAGGTTCATCAGTTTTATTCATTGTAAAGCCAGTAAGGATTTCAAAGGGAACATGTTATATTTTATTATCACTGCTAATACTAGTTACATTGTAGTATCTATCTCATTGACTTTCCTATAATTACTGCTTCTATTTGTAGAGTCAAACATTTTTTCTAAGTCCATTACCTGGAAAATTGGAGCTAAAAAGTCTTCATTAGCAACACTTTCATTGCCAGAGGTAGGAAAATTCTTCATAGTATACCCCTACATGTCCTTACCACATACTTTTTATGATTCACAAAGTACATGCATATTGAAGAATATCTTTAGGAAACCTATTGAATTTTTTTTTCAGCCCAGTACAATATTTATTTTAACTCTGCAACTTGTTTTCATAAAACACATTTCTAGGATTAACCTTCTCACTTTCGTTTCAGCACTCAACCTGTTATGTTCTCTTCAATCTAAATCACCACATCCTTGTATCTCATGCATTAACTTATGAATATTAAACTCTTTGAATATTTACCTTCTGAGTACATCATGGTTTTTTTTGTACTCACTGGACTTTTAGTCATTATCCATGTTCTCAGCATCCAATTTTCTTTACATGTGGCTATCTTAGGATACAAATTTTAAATACATAAATGAAAATAAGATCTACATCATGACTGCAGCCCATATCTAATGATACTGATGTTATGAAACGTAAACACAACAGGTAAAGCCTAACACACACACACACACACACACACACACACATATATATATACACATACAGATATGTATATGTAAAATTTTTGCCTGAAATCCGGAAATATTCAGCCCTTAAAATTCAGCTGTCTAACAAAACACAAAACAACATTTTATCTAGCAATATGTTGTCTAATATGCTAATCTTGGTTCTGAGTTAATGTCCCGCAACACATAAAGCACACCTGTACTCACTTCATATCTTTTGAACAACAAATAAAGAGGCTTATGAGGAATTATAATCTAAAATCAATTCCCACAGCAAATTTATTATTCATTGATTATTTAAGTGAATAATATTTACTTTTACTTTCCAAAAATATTGTAGGCAAATTGTAATAAAATTCACATATTCAGTACAACTTTTAAAACCATAGAGATTCCTGAAAATTTCCATGAAAATAAAAGTTGGCAGGGTGTGGTGGCTTCCACCTGTAATCTCAGCACTTTGTGGGGCTAGGCAAGAGGATCACTTCAGCCCAGGAGTTCGAGACCAGCTTGGGCAAAGCTGATACTCCATGTCACATTTAAGCAGGACTGTGAGGGTTGCTGAAGTGGAAGAATTGCTTGAGCCAGGGAGGTTGAGGGTGCAGTGAGCCATGACCTCCATTGCACCATTGTGACAGAGTGAGACAGAGAGTATTAAAAAAAAAAAAAAGCTAATTACTTATGCAAATGTATACAAGTACTTGGTAATTTGATTCAGCACTTTAATAATTCCAGAGGAAAAAGAAAAATTTTGCTTTTTTCTAGGGGTGGAGTTCTAAAAGGAGTTTATAACACAGCTCTTCATTTGCTAGGTCTCTCATTTTAATGGATAATGCATTCCACAGTGTTTTACAGCAAATAAGAAAACTCCTCCTTGGACTGTAGCGAATTTTATTTTACTGTTCACAAAACCTTTCCAAAATTTTCCAGATCACTGAGGAGCAAATTCCTTCACCATCTCTGCAGAATTTAGTGTATTATTTTAAGACTTTCAACAATCACAGGATTTTTTAGTCTAAACTCAATGTTTCTTTGGCATTACTCAAAACCCTTTTATGCTTCTCACTCAAAACCCTTTTATGCTTCTCACTCAAAACCCTTTTATGCTTCTCACTTGTTTGTTCTCAGCTAGCTCTATGTGCCAGTACATACCCAAAGATCTTTTTTAGATGAATTTTTAAGTCTATTTTACCGCTTTTTTTTTTTTCACTATGGCTTTCTCTTAACTAAACCTAGACCTATTTTAGACGGGAATAACATAATAAATATAGTAATGCTATAGGAAAATATTTTTATTTTAAAACAAAAGAGGTACAAATGTAATTCAAATATAGTAATTAGAATTCCAACAAGATAGATTATCTGGGAAAATATTTCTGACCGAAACACCTGACTGAAACACCTGAACAGAAGAAAGTATGATGAAAGTATGATGATTCTGAAACGATGATTTTCAGAAACGACACAGATGAAAGAATTAGTAGACAATACCATTAAAACTGTTAAATATGTTCAAGAGGTTTGAGAGATTGAGGCATGGAAGACGTAAAAAGATTAAATCAAACTTCCAGAGATGAAAACAGCAATGTGTAAAAGGAAAAATATATTGGATGAGATTAATGGCACGTAACACTGCAAAATAAAAGATTAGTAAATGAGAATACATAACAATAGAAATGATCCAAAATCAAATATAAGAAGAAAAAAATTGAAAAGATATTAATGCATGAGTGATTTGTGGTCATAACTTTAAGTAACTGAAAAATATAAAATTGGGTTTCCCCAAGGACACCAGGAAAATATTTGAAAAATAATTAATTGACATTTTCCAGATTTGACTAAAAATGTTTACCCAGAGATCCAAAATCAATTAACCCCAAGAATGTGCATTCATATTTGCGGTCACACACACATACTCTCTCTCTCCCTGTCTCTCTCTCTCTCTCTCTCTGTCTCACACACACACCCACACACTCACTCACACACACACACACAGATAAAATAAATGATACTAAGGCAAACAAAATACTTTAAATGTGATATAGAAAAAAAAGTCTTAAAAGCGGCCAGAGACTAAAAGCACTTTTGTTCAGAGAAACAAACCTAATGATGAAAGTCAGCTTTTTTATCAGAAATTATGCAATCACAAGGCATTACAGTAACATCTTTTAAGTGTTAAAATAATAATGCTATCTTAGGATTCTACTTAAAAAATAAAATAACTGACCAAATGAAGGTGAAGTTAAGACTATTTCAAATGTAGAAAACACACACACACACACAAAGGTCACCAGAATACCATAATAAAAATATGTTAAAGGCTTTCCTTTAGGCAAAAGGAAAATATTCCCAGATGGAAATCTGGATTTACACAAAAGAATGAAGAGCACCAGGAATGGTTACTATGTCTGTAAACATAGTAGATTGTTTTCATTTATTAATCTTAATAGTTAGGTGATTATTTAAAGCAAAAGTAGTAAGATGACCTGTGATATTTTAACTTATGTATATAGAAGTGTGACATGTGACAACAATAGCATAAATATCAGGAGGGGAGAAGTCAAAGTGTACTGTGATAAGTTTATTTCACTCTATGTGAAGTAGTATATCATTTGCAGAAAGACTGTGGAAGTTAAAGATATATGCTAAGTTAAAGATATATGCTATAAACCCTAATGCAGACTCCAGAAAAACAAAGAGGTAAATCTGTTACAGTCAATAAAGAAGATGAAATGGAATTTTAGACAAAATACCCAATTCATGGCACAAGTATTTTAGAAAGTACCAAGGAAGAAATAGAAAGCAAATAAAAGGCGGCAGTTTAAGTTCAACTATACCAATAACTACATTCAATGTAAATAATTTAAAAACCCCAATTAAAAAAACAAATGTATATCAACTTAAGACAACTTTTAAAAAGCAGAAATTGTCAGATGTGACAATAAAGCAAGAATCAGTTATATGTTACTTATAAGATACTTTCATTGAATATGAAACCCAAGGCAGGAAAATAAGAAATAATAAAGATCAGAGCAGATATTAATAAAATAACAAACAGTAATAGTACACTTAATTAATTAATCAAAGCTGCTTCTTTGAGATCACTAAAAAGATAATCTCTAACAATACTGAATATGTAAAAAAGAGAGAAGACACAAATTACCAATATAAGGAATGAGTGAGTTGACAATACTACTGGTTCTACATATTTTAATGATATTAGGTTGGTGTTCACAAGGTTTCCCCCTTTGAAAAGTTACTGTTTTCCTTTTCTATTTTCTATGTGTTTGAAAAAAGTCACTAAATTATGGAAATTTTAAAAAATTGAAAAACTGTTGGCATGTATATTTTATATATCACTGGATTTTTTATCTTTGTGTACCATAGATTTCAGGCATAAATTACATACTGCTACTTAGGAAATGGTCAGCAGGTACTGATATGTTTTAAAGTGGCTAGGAGTTAAAAAATACTGTTATTGAATGTTTGCATATATACTGCATTATCTTTACATTTTTCCTTTTACCACTACTTATGCATCTAGATATCATAAATAGCTTGCTTTTAAGTTTAATGAATATATCCCAGTAGAATATACAGCTTATAACATTTAATGTACCATTAAAGTATGTCCTAAATATGATAACTTGATCTTAAAACTTTTATGTCTGAAGGGGATTGAAGAATTGAAGTCTTCCATTTTAAAAATTAAAAAACTCTTATTGAATAGGGCACCTTTGTTATCTAATAGATTTTAAAGACCTCGTCTTTTGATGGTCTGATAGTTAATGAATTTAATGTCATTGGCTAGATGCCAAAACCAGAATTTGTTGGGGAAAATGACTGACAAATTGTGGTTCAGCTTTTGTGAAGCACAAACATTTAATCACAGTTTGCGATAGCCAGCTAGAAACATATTTTGTTTTCTTCATTCTTATTTCTGCCTTGAGTGTTATCTTTCACTTTTAAAACTGAATTACATTTCTGTTTGATGTGGTGACACCAAGTGAACAGAACCATTTCATTGAGAATTTGAGGATTTAAATTATCCTAAATCTACCTCTCAGTAGTTCTCGCCATGAGAAATTGACAAAAAAGATATATTCCCACAAAATCTCAGAATCAGACGTGAGGAACTATTCTTCAGAATAAAACCAGAGAAGGTTTTAGGCAGCTCTAGTGTTAAAACTGGGCAACAGACCTACATGAACTGTTTGTTTCAGCTTTCAATACCTAGGACAATTTCTATGAGTTTTGTGGATAGAAGGTCTTGTGGCAACGAGAATTTATTCCAGCACCTTACAATATAACTAAGATAAAGTATCTTAATGTTAAAGTAACTTACCTTGTTGCTAGAGTATGCTTTAAGTCAAAATAATACATCAGAAATGTTCCCTTAATAAGCGAGTTCAAATTTTCCTCACTTCCCCGTGTTCTTAATATTGCCCAGCAGTGCAGGGACTAGTAAGAAAGATAGAATCAGTTTCAGACAATACAGAAGGTACATTTTCCCCTGTAATTTGGAAAGTAAAGGTAATTTGCTAAGTGCCAACCTTTCTGGAAAGGTTATTTTTGAAATAGAGGAAAGCCATGTTCTTGTGTACATTTGCCTCCTAGATGGCCACTTTCATTTTTTTTGTTTTATATTCTTGGAATTTTCATTTTATCTTGGTTTTCATAATTGTATAATTATATTTCTGAAAATAATTATTTCCAAAAGTTATACCCAGTTGTCCTATGTATTATCTCATTGTTTTGTCTTCAACTTCTCAAAGTGGTAAATACTAATCTTGCTACAGACATTCTGACTTCAAAGAGATGCTTCCAATATTTAACTTTATAGTATAATGTTTCTTGCTATTTAGTCACTGATATCCTTTACGTAGATCAAGTTTGCAGAGTCTTTAAAGCTTGCTAAAGTTTTGTTTGTTTGTTACTTGGTTGTTTGGTTTTAGAAATAGACAATGATCTTTTTTAAATTTTGTAGACACATAATAGGTGTATATCTTTATGGGTTACATGAGATATTCTGATACAGGGATGTGGTACATAATAATCAGGGTAAATAGGGTATCTGCCAACTCAAGCATTTATCCTTTGTGTTTCAAGCAATCTAATTGTACTCTTTTAGTTATTTTTAAATGAACAATCAAATGATTTTTCCTATAGTCATTCTGTTGGGTTAGCCAATACCAGATATTATTTATTCTTTCTAACTATTGTATTGTACTCATTAACCATCACTGCTTCCCTCCCAAGGACCCACCCCCTCCAGCCTCTGATAAACATCCTTCTGCTCTCTATCTCCGTAAGTTCAATTGTTTTAATTTTTAGCTACCACAAATAAATTTGTCTTTCTGCACCTGGATTATTTCACTTAACATAATGACCTCCAATTCCATCCATATTGCAAATGACTGGATCTCACTTTTTATGGCTGAATAGTACTCCATTGTATATAAGTACCATTTGAATGCTCTGAAGAGTTTAAATTTTAAAATTATCTGTTATTGACAGCTGGGAAGAAACTATGGTTGACTTCTTATCCTACTCCCTGTTCTGAGCTATCAAAAACCTCCAGGATTAAAGCAAGAGTAAAATCTATCTTGAATTGATTTTTGTAGATGATAAGAGATACGGGTTCAGTACCATTCTTCTGCATATGACAATTCAATTTTCTGAGCATCATTAATTGAGCATCATTAATTGAGCATCATTTCCCTGTTGTATATTTTTGTTGACTTCGTCAAAATGTAAGATTTGAAAATAAATAAATATATATATATATATGAAGAAAACTTAAGAAAAACTGTTTTTTTTTTTTTTTTTTTTTGGAGGCAGAGTCTTGCTCTATCCCCCAGGCTGGAGTGCAGTGGCGCCATCTTGGCTCGCTGCAACCTCCGCCTCCTGGGATCAAGCGATTTTCCTGCCTCAGCGTCCGGAGTAGCTGGGATTGCAAGCCCCTGCAACCATGCCCGGCTAATTTTTGTATTTTTAGTAGAGACAGGGTTTTGCCATGTTGGCCAGGCTGGTCTCGAACTCCTGAAATCGGGTGATCCACCTGCCTCGGCCTCCCAAAGTGCTAGGATGACAGTCGTGAGCCACCGAGCCGGGTCAGGAAAATTCTTCTGGACATTTGGTCTTGGCAAAGCATTCTTTTTTTTTTTTTTTTTTTTGAGACGGAGTCTCGCTCTGTCGCCCAGGCTGGAGTGCAGTGGCGCGATCTTGGCTCAGGCTCACTGCAGGCTCCGCCCCCCGGGGTTCACGCCATTCTCCTGCCTCAGCCTCAGGAGTACTTGGGACTACAGGCGCCCGCTACCTCGCCAGGCTAATTTTTTGTATTTTTAGTAGAGACGGGATTTCACTGTGTCAGCCAGGATGGTCTCAATCTCCTGACCTCGTGATCTGCCTGCCTGGGCCTCCCAAAGTGCTGGGATTACAGGCGTGAGCCACCGCGCCTGGCTTGGCAAAGCATTCATGACTAAGACCTGAAGAGTACAAGCAATGAAAACAAAAATAGACAAAAGGGACTTAATTTAACTAAAATGCTCCTGCACAGCAAAAGATATAACCTACAGAGTTAGCAGACAACCTGCAGAGTGAGACAAATTATTTATAAACTGTACATCCAACAGGGGACTGATATGCAGAATTTATAAGGAACTCAAACAACTAAACAACAACAACAAAATAACCCCATTAAAAAGTGGGCAAAAGACATGAATAGGCTTTTTTTAGAAGAAGATATACAAATGACCAACAAACATATGAAAAAAAATTGTTACCTCTAATTGTTAGAGAAATGCAAATTAAATCCACAATGAAATATTACCTTGCACTAGTCAGAATGGCTATTATGAAAAAGTGAAACAGTAACAGATGTTGAAGATGAAGAGAAAAAGGAACACTTATACATTGCTGGTCAGCATGTAAATAAGAATGCAAAATACAGTATACAGAATACAGCATGGAGATTTCTCATCTAAAAATAGAGCTACCATTCAATCCCACAATGCCACTACTGTATAGGTACCCAAAAGAAAAGAAATCAGTATATCAAAAAGATATGTGCACTCATATGCTTATCTCAGCACTATTAACAGTTGCAAATATTTGGTATATGTATCCATCAGTAGATAAATGGATACAGAAAATGTGGTACATATATACAATGGAATATTATTCGGCTATAAAAAAGAGTGAAATCATGTATTTTACAGCTACATGGATGGAACTGGAGGCCATTATCTTAAGTGAAACAACTCAGAAACAGGCAAATACTGCACGTTCTCACTTATGAGAAGAAGCTCAACAATGTGTACTCGTGGACATAGAATATGCAATAAGAGACACTGGAGATACAGAAGAGTGGATGGAGAAGAGAGAGGAATAACAAATTACTTAATTGGTACAGTGTACATTATTTATGTGGTGGTTACACTAAAAGCCCAGACTTCAGCACTATGCAAAACTGCACTTGTACCCCTTAAATGTATATAAATACATTTATACATATACAGTAACAAAACTGCACTTGTACCCCTTAAATGTATATAAATTAAAAAAGGAATAGGTACTGAGACTCCTTCAAGTTTAGGTCAACTCATTTAAGGCACTCAAGGAGAGAAATTTTTTTCCCTTTTCTAGGTCTTGCTATCTACTATGCAGCAATATTAATGAGTTAGAAGAACAAATTAGGTAAAATGATTATATTTACATGATTTATTAACAACTCCTCCTATACAAAAGTCAGTGAGAGAAACAACAGGTTGGCAGTATCTCATATGTTCTCAAACAAACATGCTTTGATTTGTACATTTATACAAAACAACAAACTCCTCCTTTCATTCTTTTGACTTTAATTCTAGTTCAACACTCACTATTCCCCTCTAGTTCATCTATGGTTTATCCAACATTGGGCGCAAGGGTGCCTACTTCTGTGCCCAGATTGGGATTGAATATGCATCTCTTGCTTCAGTTATATATTTGACATTATAATATATAAATGATTTAGTGGTTCCAGGTTACTTCATTTGATAATTGCACAGTATTCATGATAATTCTAATGTCTGTTTACTTTAAGATGTATATAACCATATTCAGTTTCTGTGATTCATTATACAAAGAATCAGTTATTTACTTTTCTTTACTTACTATAGTAAGTCAATTAGTGTTTAATTGATCTCATTTTTCATTATTGTTTTAGTTTATGTACTAGTTTCCTTTTTCTTTTATTTTCTTCTTTTTGTGTGCGGGCAAAGGTACAAGCCTAATTTTCTTCACATTGCTGAATCTACTCTTTATTGTTACTGTACAATTTAAACATGAGCATACACACATTTTATAGTCAGTTTTAATTCTAAAGATTCATCTGTAAATTCACTGGTTGTTACCCATTTTTGTAGAGGTAATCCCATATATAATTCCAGAATAGCAAATAGTACTGACTATATGAGGCGCTGGAGGAGGTAACAGAAAAAGAAAAATGAACACTTTCATATAATATTTTTATGCCACAAACACTTCACATATATTAACTTTTTTAATCTTCAGTAGCATTTTGATGTAAGTCCTATTATTGTCCTCATTTTACAGTTGAGGAAGCAGATCTAGAGGAGTCACATATCTTGGCCCAAACATACGGTAAGCAGTTGAATCTGGTTATGAGTCTGTGGTCTTCACTACTATGCTGCCTTAACCAGGAGATAAGTCTGAAAAAAGCTGTGTGTTCAGCACACTTTGAGGGGACTGAATATTTTATCTCTGCTTCACGGACAGCATGTAAATTAGTTGAAAGAGAAAGAGGCCAATGAGTGTGTAAGGGGTTTTGGAGTTGACATAAAGCAAATCCGTAGCATAGATACAGGGTGGAACATCCTGCCAGGATAAGGCAGTAATGTGTTTACATTTCAAATCATGAATGTGTCGTGCGAGAACTGGAGAAATAGATGAGGTAAATTATGTTGCATAATACGGCTGTATTAAACTGAGACACAAACACTGAGACACGGACAACACATTTCTGGCAGTAAGGAGAGAAATGGAGACTCAATCTTGAATTCTTCTGAATTTTCAATGTTAAGTTTTTTCCAACAATTATGTATTCAGTATCTACTCTCTGACATGTACTGGCACAAAATAAAGACCCTGAACCTCTTGAAGCTTATACTTTAGCAAGCTTACCTTATTTAGGTATCTCTAAAGATCCCTGAATTTGACTATAATTTTACTGAAAACACAAGATTAAGCTTTCTGAAACAGGAAGATTAGTGATGAATGAAATAATTTATGTTGAGTTGCAGAGAATAAAAATTACCTATCTGATACAATGTTCAACATTTGGGTGATGGGTACACTAGAAGCCTAATCCATACCATTATGCAATAAACCCACATAAAAAACATACATACGTACTAAAATTTTTTAAAAAGTACATATAAGCAAAGGACAGAAATTATTATATTGTTGTAAGTGACAGATATGCATACTATTTGGCATAGTACTCCTCATTTGGCATGTAGTAAT